>NC_000004.12:90739562-91042593 GCF_000001405.40 Homo sapiens
TGCATTTCAAGTTTATTTAGTACCCCCAAGCTCTTTAGCCTGTGGTAGTGGGGCTTACTGGAATTCAGGTTCCAATTGCTGGGATGAGTAATTCACCTCTGGCTAGGGCTAATCTGAATGTTCCCTCCATGTCACCAACTGAGCTCTGCCCTGAGTCACTTTCCACTGTGACCAGGCAGCACTGTGTTCCAATGCTAAGTTCCACAATTAGTGCACTGTACCTCCTTGAAGCACACAGATTCTCTCTCCACGGCAGGTGGCTGACTACTGCTAGGAATAGGGGAAGGGTGGTGTAGGTAATTCAAAACTGTCTTTCTTATCCTCTTCAGTGCCTCTTTACTCGATATGATGTTAAAACCAGGTACTGTAATTACTTACATGAGTTTTGGTTCCTATGAAGGTGCTTTTTTGTGTGGACAGTTGTTCAATTTGTTGTTCCTGGTTGGGGGGAATGATTTCTGGAGGCTTCTATTCAGCCATATTGCTCCGCCTTCGTCACTATATCCCTCAATGCTATTTTAATTTCCGTTAAGTTTGGAAATTTCCATTAAATGTCACCATATTTAAATTAACTTCAAAGAATTATGTTTTTTAAAAGTATTTTACAAAATAATGGATAAAAACACTAAAAGTAAATTCTAAATTGAGATATCAACTACCAAACAAGACTTTATATATATGTTTATATATTATTATTTGGTGTCAATATTTTTTTCTCTTGGTTCAGTCAAGATAAATTTAGAATAAATAGTATACCTATTATTTGACTATTGCAGACAGCATTACTGATGGATGATGAATGCTCACATAGTAAGAAAAATGAGAATTATATCCTGGTAAGACAAATAAAATTATTTTTACATAAATTAAAGTCAAAATGAATTTTGCTTAATTTGTGTTAAAAGATATGCAATATCTCTTAGACATAGTAGACCTCTGGGAAAAATATTTCAAGAGGAAAACATTAGCAAATACTTTCATGTTGTCTATTAGCATCATATTGCTGTTCAAATTATTCTCACACACTGTCCAAATCATTTCAGAAAGGTTGGTACAAGATAAAGAACTTGTCAACATTAATACATACTAAAAATAATGGCATACCTCTTCTTCCTTCTACAGTTCACACATTCATTTTCTGTCTTAAATTTAAATTTCAATTAGTTTTTCATTTTTTCCAGGTTGGTGTCTTGGATTTCTCCTGTTTTGGGGTTCTTTAAGTAGTACTGATAGAAAATTTTCTTTGTAAAATGGCTTATTTTACCATGCCTTCAGATATTGGGTCATAGTCTGTTTTGCTTACTTTAATCAAAGGATTCATTTAAGAAATTTTGTGGACACCATTTTCTGAGCATCTATTAAAATATTATCTTGGACTATTGAATTTAAGGTTTCACTTTGTGTATCACTGAGTTAAACAGGGCCCTGGAAATCTGAAGGATATATACATTTGGATTGCTTTCCTTAATTGGCCAAAGTGAGGATTCTGTAGGATAAGCTTGAATACTGCGGTAGAGTTCAGGTACAGAACATGGGAAGAGTTCTGAATTAATTTGTATGTAAAGGATAGGTGTTGAACTACTGCTAGCAAAATTTTATAGCCAATAAAGGGCTTAATTATAAGGAAGGAAAAAAATATTTATATGTTTCTTCAAACAAAAAGAATTTTAAGAAACTGAGTCATTATAACCTCAATCTTGGTTTGAGAATCCACTTCAGAGTAGATTGGCATCACTGAAACATTTTTTCTGTCAAAAGATGCCAGGGCAGTTTTATTTGAAAACAGTTGAAACCAACATGTATTCAGTTGGATGGTGTTCTGTTCCTGAACACCTGTTGCTCTCAATAATTTGAAAAACCTTGGTGTGAGATAATAGCAGAGGTAACAATCACACCATCATTCTTGTGCACACCAATATTAAGGTTTTAAAATACGTGATATATACATCAGATACTGAATCTGGCTGGGAATTCACACTGTTATATTTTTGATATAATATCATTATCAATGATAATTTAAGCAACTGATCTCATGTATAGCACTTCAGTGTTTATTTCTTACTTAGTATTATCATTTCATATAAACTCCATTATACTCATTTTTATTGTTTTTTACATAATTTCAAATATTACTTCACAGTTTACCTATAAGTGTGAACACGTTTTTTAAAATAAGAAGTTAGTAACCCAGGTGAAATTCAAAGACTATGATTTACTACTAATGTGCTCATTTGAGATAGACCGTGAATATGAGAAGCTATCATATATGGATTCAGCATGAGTTCAGTTTATCTGGCAATAGTTCCATCTGTTGTATTTTGAAATTGCCTACTGTATTAGTTCATTCTCACACTGCTTTAAAGAACTACCTGAGACTGAGTAATTTATAAAGGAAATAGGTTTAATTGACTCATAGTTCCATAGACCATACAGGAGGCATGCCTAGATA
This sequence comes from Homo sapiens, assembly GCF_000001405.40. NCBI lineage: Eukaryota > Metazoa > Chordata > Mammalia > Primates > Hominidae > Homo > Homo sapiens. The sequence continues at coordinate 90,742,012 of NC_000004.12, forward strand.
GGCCTCAGGAAACTTAAAATCATGGCATAAGGGTGAAGGGGAAGCAAGTATGTCTTCAAATGGCAGAAGGAGAGGGAGACAGAGAGAGAGAGAGAGAGAAAAGGGGGAAGTGCTACACACTTCCGAGCAACCAGATTTTGAGAGAACTCTGTCACGAGAACAGCAGATGGAAGTCTGTCCCCATGATTGAATCACTCTCCCACCAGGCTCCTTCTCCAGCACTGGCAATTACAATTCAACATGAGATTTGGGTGGGGAAACAGAGCCAAACCATATCATCTACTTAAATAACCATTGAATTTTAGAGGTTGAATCATATCAATATGCATGCTATAGACTGAAGATTTATGTTCTCTGAAAATTCACCTTGAGATTTTTACCTCCAATGTGACAATATTAGGAAGTCGAGCCTATTACTATGATTAGGTCCTCAGTATAAAGCCCTTATGAATGTTATTAGTGCCCTTATAAAACAGGTCTCAGAAAATGCTCTCATCCCTTCCAACATGTGAGCACTCAGAGGGAAGATTGCTGTCTGTGAACCAGAAAGCCCTCACTAGCCCCTGAATCTGCTGACACCTTGATTTTGGACTTCCCAGCCTCTAGAATTGAAAAAAATAACTTTCAATTGTTTAGAAGCCACCCAGTTAATGGTACCATGTTGTATCAAATAAAATGTAATAAGGAATTAAATGCAATTAATTTTGCCATGCATGAAATTCTTTGGAAATGACTGTTTTCCTTGGTGACTCTATAGTGCTAAAATAATATTAGACTTAAGTGTTTTATAATGATATTGGGCTTATGTTGTTATTTTTTGTTTCGTAAAATGTGTAATTCAACTACTGTTTTTATTGTACCATGTGGATGCATTAAGTAGCCATGCTGACAGATGCAATAAAATGAGTAAAATAAACAAATATTTTGATTTTTTTAAGATATAAATTTAGCCTTTTTTTCACTGCAGTTTTCATACCACACATAAGTAATTTGGCAGATATTCTATTATTTATTGTTATTTCCTTAGGAAAAATTGGCATGTTGATGGCACAAATTAAAATTTGGATAATAATTAGGAGTAAATAAGATAATTCAATTTGGTCTTGCCTACAATAAAGATATTCTCAATAGCTTAGGAATATAATGAATACCACTTTAAAATGCATTCCAAAAGAAAGAAGGAAAGGTACAATGTGTTTTAGCAGAAACTTACTTGTGTCCCTTTGGTTAGTGGCTGATACATAGCACAGAAATTAGAAGGTAAACAATTGCCAGATGAAAGGATTAAATTATAACTAATAGCAAAAATTTTGAAGATAGATATAATTTGAATATTCTGAGAAACTGTTGATGTCAGATTCTCAGCTAAGGAAATTATCTGCTTTGAAGCTCTTCAGTTATATTATTAGCAGTCGGTTTATGTCTTTGTACATGAACACGTCTTCTTTTTCTCACATAGTTTATTTTACTTTAGTAAATCTGATGGGAAGCCTTATGTCAGAATATGTAACAAACATTGATTCTTGTAGGCTAAACTTATTTTATTAAAATTATGTTGCATATGCTTCTTATTAAGAATAAAGGTTTATTTAGACTAGTTAGGACCTGCTTAACAAGAAAGACTTCGGCAGCCACCTTTAAGCCTGAAGCTTTAAAAATGCTGAGCAAAATTGTCAAAGCATAATTAAGGGTAGGGGAATTAAGTTCACTTTTCTCCCCTAAGTGTCTTTGCCAGAGACAGAAACTTCAACAATAGAGCTAAGTGGAAAAATGGAGCCATGTCAGTTACCACACCATGCTAAAGACTGATTAGTCATAATTTTTGGTAATAATGCCCACAGGAATAAACCTGACAATGGTGTACTCTCTTGTTAGCATTAGCCCTTTTTTGTCCCCATTTTTCTTGCTCTTTCCCATGGGCCTGGTCACTTAGTGATATTAGTTTTAAAAGTTTCATTTCTCACCATTTCTGCTACTTTCTTGAATGTGGTGAGTCATGCAGAACAATTAACAAGCATTAATTGAGGTTCTCTTATGCATAAGATTTTATGTAAAGGTACTGGGGGCTGGGAATATTTTCTTATGACTATGGAAAGCTATGGGAATAGTGACACTGGTTGTATTTGCACACGGCCTGGAAAAGTGCAAAGTATTGGGAGTTGAGGAGAGACAAATGTCCTGAAATCTCAGCTGAAAGAGCAGAGGCCTTGTGCTAGACCCTGAGGGTACAGAAACTATACGTATTCGGTTATGTGTTGCCTGTATGATGAGGAAAAACTTAGACTCCATTTTACAGGAAGTAAGGTACCGGAAGTGGTCAAAAATTGAGCAAGTAATAAAATGCAAAATGAAGAATATTTTCTACTTCTTGAGTTTGAATTCCACAGAATGAGTTTTGGACTTTATTTGAAATTTGTCAATTGCTAGAATATCAAGAGGCACTGATCAAATAAAAATTATTTTAAAAATGAATACTTCTTATATAATACACTATTGTTGGATACCTATATCTGCATATGCTCTAACTAGGATGAAAATTACCTATATTCATATTAAAATAATAGACTTTACAGATGATCTAGACCAGGGGTCCACAACCATCAGGCCACAGACCAATAGGAACCAGTCACAAAGCAGGAGATGACCGATGGGCAAGCAGGCATTACCACCTGAGCTCTGCCTCCAGTCAGATCAGTGGAGACATTAGATTCTCATATGAGTGCAAACCCTATTGTGAACTGCACGTACAAGGGATCTAGGTTGTGTGATCCTATGAGAATCTAACCTAATGCCTAGTGATCTGAGGTGGAATAGTTTCATCCTGAAACAAGTCCCCTATCCATGGAAAAATTGTCTTCCATGAAACCAATTGTTGGTGCCAAAAAGGTTGGACTAGTGATCTAGACTATCGTAAATATGTACTAAAAATTCATACATTTTATATATATTATATATATATATGTACTGCTATATCTTAAAAAGTTATAGTTTATTAGTTTCATATTGCTGCTGTAACAAATGACCACAAACTCGGTGGCTTAAAACAGCACACATTTAGTATCTTAACAACTCTGGAAGTCAGAAGTCAGCAATGGGTCTCATGGAAAGAAAATCAATATGATGGCCTGGTCGAGTTCTTTCTGAAGGCTATAAGGGACAGTTTGTTTACTTACCTTTTGAACTTCTAGAAGCTGCCTGCATTACTGGGCTTTGTAGACCCCGTCTATCTTCAAAACCAGCAATGGCCTATCTCAAGTCTTCCTCATGCTGCATCTCTCTGATTCTGAGTCATCTTCTGTCTCCCATTTTTGACATTTAAGGAACTTTGTGATTCACTGGGTCCACCCAGATAGTCCAGGAAAATTCTATTACAAGGTTGGCTGATTAGTCACCTTAATTTCATCTGATTCTTTCATTCCCCTTTGCCATGGATATCTGTCGAATGGGGCGGGAAGCGTTATTCTGCCTGTCACAGTCAGTAATATCACACAAGTAAGATCAGGATTTTATTTCTTACCAAGTAACTTTTGTTCTGTCCATAAATATTGAGCTGCTTGTGTAAGTATTTGCAATGCACATTACTTTTCCCCCTCAGTGGTTGATTGTTATATTAATACAGAGAAAGGAATTTCCATTGTGCTGAATTACACAAGCTATTTCTTTTATCTTTTTTTTTTTTTTTTTTTTTTTTTTTTTGAGACGGAGTCTTGCTCTGCCACCCAGGCTGGAGTGCGGTGGCGTGATCTCGGCTCACTGCAAGCTCCGCCTCCTGGGCTCACGCCATTCTCCTGCCTCAGGCTCCCGAGTAGCTGGGACTACAGGCGCCCGCCACCACACCCAGCTAAATTTTTTTTAATTTTTTTTTTCTTTAGTAGAGACGGGGTTTCACCGTGTTAGCCAGGATGGCCTTGATCTCCTGACCTCGTGATCTGCCCGCCTCGGCCTCCCAAAGTGCTGGGGTTACAGGCGTGAGCCACCACGCCCGGCCTCTTTTATCTTTGGTATATGTTTCCAACTCCTATGCCTAGAAAACTTGTACTTTCCATTTAGTGCCCAATTCAATGCCATCTCCTCTACAAGAATTCCTCCCTGAAGCCTCAAAGTAGTTTAATCAAACTTCTAATATGGAACCATAAAATTATATTGTAATTATGTTTATTTACAATTTCTTCCAATAGATGCAAATGTTCTTAAAGGCAGATATATTTTATATTCTTTATATTCCCTATTTCAGTTCCTAGTATAGAACCAGTACATAGTATACTGTTAATAGATGAATGAGTAAATTGTTAAATGAATTAATGATGAAAAAAATTCACTTAAGACCTCTCATTTCCTCTCAAATATTTTATCCTATCTTACAGTAGTGATTTAATAAAATATCCATTTAATAAAATTAGCCATTGGGAACTTAAATAATACAACAAATCCTATCAAGCTATACACATAATATCAGCCTACCAAGTTTTCTATAACTTATCCTCTTTTTTCTCTACCAGTGTCAGCATAGCTCAGCCTATCCTAGGTCCGAATTCATTTTGAGACTCTAACTTGGTGTAGGGAATTCAGTGTCAGATTGTCTTTTTCTTTGTCAGGATCTTGTCCTCCATTCTAAAAACCTGGCTGCTGCCTTAGCTGGTATTTATCTGATAATCAGTGTCTGAGATAACTGCATTTCTGTTAACTGCCTATTTGGGTTTATAAATATTATCTTTTTCAAGATCTTCCATAACCAAGCACTGAAAGTTTTAGGTACTGAAAACTGTCTGTTTGCTTAGATTATTCATTCTTAATACACCAGACTATTGTCTTACTTTACAGATAAGGAATTTGAAGCTTAGAATAGTTAAGTATCCTGACTGCAGGTTGCAATGCTGGTAAATGACCAAAATGGCATTTCAACTCAGGTCCTAAAAATTCTGAAGACTTGTTTTAACTACTGTACTCTACTGTTTTAACTACTGTACTATTTTATTTTAAGCATTATTCTGACTATCCATTTGCTTGATATAACTGAGGAGTGGTAAAGATCAAAGTAGAGGAAGAGGCAGAGGTAGAGAGAAGAGAAAAGGAGGGTAAGGGAGGAGATGGGAGACAGAAAATAAAAAAAGAAAAGAAAAGAGAGAAAAACTATGAGAAAACATCCCACTATTAGGTTGGGCATGTATTGAGATCATAATCCTAACAAGGTTATGCATTTCTTTTATTAACAAACTTAATAATTTCGAGCCATCTTTGCAGTTCTAGAATGAAAGTTACCTGAAATAATGGTCAGTTTTCCTAGATGCAGGCAAAATAATTTGACTTAGTTTAAACAGAAAGGATTTTATTATAGAATATTTGATAGCTTACAAAATTTCTTGGAGGTCAGCAAATCAAAATTTCTTGGAAAGTCAGCAAACTATAGCAACAAAATACCAGACAAGATTTCTGCCTGGAGGGGATAAACTGCGGAGCTAGGCTGAGAGCAGAGAAAAAAAAAGAGAGGTGGAGGGGAAGGGATGGGGTTATGGAATTTTCAGTGTTTAGTATGCAGAGTTTAATTTAATCTACCTGTTTTCAGTAGGATATTCTCTTTCTCGGTTTTGCCTGATGTTTCTTCAATTTGGAGCTTATCTAATTTTCTTTTTTTTTTCTTTTTTTAAATTTTATTATTATACTTTAAGTTTTAGGGTACATATGCACGATGTGCAGGTTAGTTACATATGTATACATGTGACATGCTGGTGCGCTGCACCCAGTAACTCATCATCTAGCATTAGGTATATCTCCCAGTGCTATCCCTCCCCCCTCCCCCCACTCCACAACAGTCCCCAGAGTGTGATGTTCCCCTTCCTGTGTCCATGTGTTCTCATTGTTCAATTCCCACCTATGAGTGAGAATATGCCATGTTTGGTTTTTTGTTCTTGCAGTAGTTTACTGAGAATGATGATTTCCAATTTCATCCATGTACCTACAAAGACATGAACTCATCATTTTTTTATGGCTGCATAGTATTCCATGGTGTATATGTGCCACATTTTCTTCTTTTTTTTTTATTATACTTTAAGTTTTAGGGTACATGTGCACATTGTGCAGGTTAGTTACATATGTATACATGTGCCATGCTGGTGCGCTGCACCCACTAACTCGTCATCTAGCATTAGGTATATCTCCCGATGCTATCCCTCCCCCCTCCCCCCACCCCACAATAGTCCCCAGAGTGTGATATTCCCCTTCCTGTGTCCATGTGATCTCATTGTTCAATTCCCACCTATGAGTGAGAATATGCGGTGTTGGGTTTTTTGTTCTTGCAATAGTTTACTGAGAATGATGATTTCCAGTTTCATCCATGTCCCTACAAAGGACATGAACTCATCATTTTTTATGGCTGCATAGTATTCCATGGCGTATATGTGCCACATTTTCTTAATCCAGTCTATCATTGTTGGACATTTGGGTTGGTTCCAAGTCTTTGCTATTGTGAATAATGCCACAATAAACATACGTGTGCATGTGTCTTTATAGCAGCACGATTTATAGTCCTTTGGGTATATACCCAGTAATGGGATGGCTGAGTCAAATGGTATTTCCAGTTCTAGATCCCTGAGGAATCGCCACACTGACTTCCACAATGGTTGAACTAGTTTACAGTCCCACCAACAGTGTAAAAGTGTTCCTATTTCTCCACATCCTCTCCAGCACCTGTTGTTTCCTGACTTTTTAATGATTGCCATTCTAACTGGTGTGAGATGGTATCTCATTGTGGTTTTGATGTGCATTTCTCTGATGGCCAGTGATGATGAGCATTTTTTCATGTGTTTTTTGGCTGCATAAATGTCTTCTTTTGAGAAGTGTCTGTTCATGTCCTTTGCCCACTTTTTTATGGGGTTGTTTGTTTTTTTCTTGTAAATTTGTTTAAGTTAATTGTAGATTCTGGATATTAGCCCTTTGTCAGATGAGTAGGTTGCGAAAATTTTCTCCCATTTTGTAGGTTGCCTGTTCACTCTGATGGTAGTTTCTTTTGCTGTGCAGAAGCTCTTTAGTTTAATTAGATCCCATTTGTCAATTTTGGCTTTTGTTGCCGTTGCTTTTGGTGTTTTAGACATGAAGTCCTTGCGCATGCCTATGTCCTGAATGGTAATGCCTAGGTTTTCTTCTAGGGTTTTTATGGTTTTAGGTCTAACGTTTAAGTCTTTAATCCATCTTGAATTGATTTTTGTATAAGGTGTAAGGAAGGGATCCAGTTTCAGCTTTCTACATGTGGCTAGCCAGTTTTCCCAGCACCATTTATTAAATAGGAAATCCTTTCCCCATTGCTTGTTTTTCTCAGGTTTGTCAAAGATCAGATAGTTGTAGATATGCGGCGTTATTTCTGAGGGCTCTGTTCTGTTCCATTGATCTATATCTCTGTTTTGGTACCAGTACCATGCTGTTTTGGTTACTGTAGCCTTGTAGTATAGTCTGAAGTCAGGTAGCGTGATGCCTCTAGCTTTGTTCTTTTGGCTTAGGATTGACTTGGCTATGCGGGCTCTTTTTTGGTTCCATATGAACTTTAAAGTAGTTTTTTCCAATTCTGTGAACAAAGTCATTGGTAGCTTGATGGGGATGACATTGAATCTGTAAATTACCTTGGGCAGTATGGCCATTTTCACGATATTGATTCTTCCTACCCCACATTTTGTTAATCCAGTCTATCATTGTTGGACATTTGGGTTGGTTCCAAGTCTTTGCTATTGTGAATAGTGCCACAGTAAACATACGTGTGCATGTGTCTTTATAGCAGCATGATTTACAGTCCTTTGGGTATATACCCAGTAATGGGATGGCTGGGTCAAATGGTATTTCTAGTTCTAGATCCCTGAGGAATCGCCACACTGACTTCCACAATGGTTGAACTAGTTTACAGTCCCACCAACAGTGTAAAAGTGTTCCTATTTCTCGACATCCTCTCCAGCACCTGTTGTTTCCTGACTTTTTAATGATTGCCATTCTAACTGGTGTGAGATGATATCTCATTGTGGTGTTGATTTGTATTTCTCTGATGGCCAGTGATGGTGAGCATTTTTTCATGTGTTTTTTGGCTGCATAAATGTCTTCTTTTGAGAAGTGTCTGTTCATGTCCTTCGCCCACTTTTTGATGGGGTTGTTTGTTTTTTTCTTGTAAATTTGGTTGAGTTCGTTGTAGATTCTGGATATTAGCCCTTTGTCAGATGAGTAGGTTGCGAAAATTTTCTCCCATTTTGTGGGTTGCCTGTTCGCTCTGATGGTAGTTTCTTTTGCTGTGCAGAAGCTCTTTAGTTTAATTAGATCCCATTTGTCTTTCTGTAGAGAATAAACTCCTAGTCTGCTAGGGACGGAAGGAGAAGTTGCTTGGGTGCATGGAGTACTTTTAGCTAACCCTCTAGTTGCCAGCCCCATCTTTACTCCCACTTTGTTAGGTGCACAGCTTTTCTAAGGTCCCAGAGTAAATGTGGGGTTGTTTGAGGGCAAGGAGGTACACTGCTGGCTCAGGTTTCAGATTTCTTGAGACTATTTGCTTTCCAGTGTATGCGTTTATTTTTTCTTCAGCTGCTGCCAGCTCTCAAAGTGCTCAAATTTTACAGTGAACTTATCTTAAAATGCTCCTCTCTTTATACTTTCTGCCGATATAGAGATATTTAGTATTAATGTTCATTTTTAAAGAATTTTGAAGAACAATTCTATGCCAAAACCAAGCTGAATACTGTACACATGATCATAAAACATAGTAAACAGTATACATTCAATTTTATATGAATATTGGTAAATGGTGTCTGTATCTTTGTAGAAAGGACCAAATTGCAGTTAGCATTATGAATTTTCATTTAACTTTTTAATTTTCTTGTTACATAGACACTAGTCATTAAGTGTTTAAGAAGAGATCTGATTAAATAAATTGGAATTATCTTTTCTTTGAAATATATCTTAATTAAACCCTGTCTATTATGAAAATATCAGACCTTTATTAGTAATCATTTCTATATTATGCTGAAAATAACTTTTTTTAACTCTGCTTAATTTATTTCATGAAAAGATTTAACGAAAGGTTCAGTGAAGTTTTGCAAAAATTGGTGCATAAACTCAGATATGTAAAGATTCACATATTCTAAAATTTTCTCCTTCAGCCAAATATAAACTACACATATAAAAAAGTAAGACATTGCCATAAGCCCCATGGTTTAATAACATTGCTCCACAGTCTTATGAGTTTGTTTTAAAGCTTTAGTCAAAAAATACAGGATGAGATTTGTTAATATACACAAAATTTAGCTTTTCAATGTGTTCATGTTGAGTAATTAGGTTATGTGCTACATAAATTAATACATTTTTATGTGGTAAAAACAGCGTAAGTGGTAACAGCTGCCTCTAAAGTATCTTTGTTCTTATTCAGATTTAAATTACCTGTTGATTTGAGTAAGTAATTATAATTTTGTCCTAACACTGTGTAACATATGGTGTTTACATTCTTCTCAAGAGCTCCTTGAGGGAAAAAAAGTACACAGAAACATCAATATAAATAGTGATTTAAGAAACCAATGAAAAATATTTACAAAGATTAATTGTAGTTAATAGGATGTTAAATAGTTGTTAAAGCATTTGAATTTGTCTTATTGGATTATTGACTTATGATATTATTTTCTATTGTTTGCTTGGTGTTGACGTTGTTACATAACATATTCATTTTGAGAAATCTGTTTTCCAAATGGAAGTTTATTCTTTTATTATCATAGAATTCATTTTAAGCTATGTGTTCCTTTTTCTTAACAACAAAGCATTATTTTACATCTGTGTTTATATTTTAGACTTAGCATATAAGATATTGATAACCTAGCAGACTTTTTAAAAATTAAAAAGTATAGGATATAAGATTTGTTTTAAAACCTTTTAAGTTATAAGTCTATTAAAATTTCTAATATATTTAGGTATAATTTTAGAATGGACCATGTTCCAAATATTTGCTCAAAAAATTATTTGTTTAGAATGTTGTCCCTGCTAAGCCACAAAGTGCCCTTGAACATGTGGTTTATCTAAAAGGTAGCTATATTACAAGCTTTAATTTATTGAGCACTTCCAATGCGCTAGACACATTTTAATTTGTTTTACATATGCTTTTCTGAGGAAAACTTTACAGCGACTCCATGAGTTAAGCTAGGCATTTTCAACCTCATTTCCTATGAGGAGAAACAGACTCAAATACTTTAATACCTCTGATATGCCTCCAATAAATGGCAGAACCAAAATGATTTCAAAACTCATGCCTGTAAGTACTATGCTATGCTACTTCTCTAATAGAATATATATAGTTCTTTTACAATTGCAGGGAACCTTTCTGTTTGTGTGGAATAATTCATTACATATTTTGCCTTGGCATATAAGAAACACTGTATTTTGAATTCACAGGAGGGGAGTCTTTCTAGGTTACTTCCAAGGGCTTAGGTAATTTGGGCCTGAGTCATGTAATAACCTACATTTGAATCAGCTATGTAGGTAATATTTACAATTTTATTATTACAAATTTTGGTGCTCTAATTTTCAGTTTGTCATTTTCCAAATAGTGGGGGCAGTTTTCTTCCTGGGAGGTGAAAGCGTTCGAGTTTGATCTGGAGTGATGTGAACCAATGTGTAAATTTGTATTTCCCTTCATCTCACATCTTCCCCCTACAGCCTCTTCTCCAGATATACTCATTTCCTGGGTGATTTCATGCCATCTATTGACAGATGCCTTTCAATTATTTATCTCCATCTCAGGTTTCTCTAAGTTTCAGATTCATATATTCAATTGCCTACTCAGTATTTCCACATGGATGGCTACCAGGAATCTCCAAATTGATAAAAACCATTCAAAACATTTGATTCTCATCCCATAATACCTACTTTGCTATTTTAAGTTTATTTCTATCCAAGTCTCCAAATCCCTTTTCCAATCTCAATAAATATTTTCATTTACCATTTCATCATATAAAAATGAAAAATAATTTTTTCCTCAATTATAAGTTCTTAGTTGGACCAAAAGGCAGATTAACAAGAGAAACATAGTGTATTAACATGTGCACTGCACATGATGTGAGAGAAACCTCAACAAAGCAGTGGCTTAGAACTTCTGGCTTATATAGCATCTTCAACAAAGAACAGTAAATTTATAGAGAAATTACAGAACAGAGGAAAGAGGTTTTAGTTTTAGGAGAAAACTAATGGTGTAAGGATCCTTTGTAGATTCCCCTGTTGCCTCTCTAAGCTGATAAGCATCAGAATTGTCTCTGGTGAAGGAGAATGCATATCCTGCCTTTAGGCAGAAACAAACAGAAGGTATGGAGAGCTTTCCCCTCATTTGCTTCTCCTTTAATGTCCTTCAGGTAAAAATAAATTTTATGTCAAAGAGGCAATTTTGGGGTGACATTTTGGTTTCCTTCAGTTGCTCAAGCCAAAAATAAGAGAGAGAGAGGAAAAAGAATAGAAATTCATACTTGATTTTTCATACTCTTTCTCACACCCATTCTGTGAGCAATTCTGTGAGCTCTGTGTTGAGAATATATAAATATATTCCAAATCTGTCTGTTTCTTCCACGTACACTATTATCAGTATCATTTCTCACCTAGACTACTGCAGTGGTTTCTTTGTTCCCACTCTTGTCTCCCCTGTAATTCCATTTCCCACATGGGAGCCAGAGTGATCTTTTAAAAAAATAAATTGGATTGTGTCATTCCCTTGCTTAAAACACTCCAGTGCCTTCATATCAAACGCAAGATTAAAGTGAAACTGCTTTCTAAGGCCTTACATGTTCTACCCCATGGCAGCTTTTCCAATCTCATCTCTGATTTATCTTGCAAGTCTTTTCTAGATCTGGCAATGCTGGCCTTCATGTTGTTCCTCAAACATAGTAAGTTCTCTCCTTCATCAGGATAGTCATACTAATGTTTTCTTCCGTCTGTATCATCCTGTCTTCACATTACCATATAGCTCATTCTATCACTGTATTTAAGAATTTGAAATCATATCAGCTAATCAAAGGAGACTTCCCTAACTGCCCTTCTAAAATAGCTGCCATATTCAGGTTCATTTTCTGTTTTGTTTTTCTTCATGGCACTTATTATTTTTCATAGCACAAACCCCTTGTGACCTGACATTACATTGTATGCATGTGTTTAAAATCAGTTTTGCTCAGTAAAATGGAAGCTTAGCATGGGCAGGGACTTATTCATCAATGTATCTTTAGCTCATGCAGCAATGACTGGCACAGAAAACCTGTTTAATAAATATTTTTGCTAAAAAAATTATTTCATGTTGTATTTTATTTTAACATATACGTTTATGTATATATAATCTACTAATTTACCTGAGTGTGTATGTGTGAGCATATATATCTATGCAGAGAGGTGGGGATTTATTAGGAGTATATTAATAAAAATGAAAATATGCTATTCTGTGATGATACTCAGTTATCTGGTCAAAACATCCTTTGGTTGGTAATGGATTTATTCTGATCTAGTCCCTGTCTTCATCCAGTTTACACAGGTTGCATATAATTAGCCAGACAATTTTGTGTCATTCAAGATACAACCTGGTTCAGAAAAAAGAATCTTGAATTGTACCTTAATGCAACCCATTACAGTGAGGTTACAGTGTCACTCACCTCGGAAACAGTGTCCTCTTGTATATACCCATTTCTTCCCTTAACTACATCAAATCTTTTTTCTGACTTGAACATTTTGCTAGCATTTTTAGTACTTTGTTTTAGTAGAAATAGCATTCAGCTGCAAAAATAAGACAAAGAAAACAAAAACAGAAAATAACAGTATCTTAAACCCTATTGAATTTAATCTTACACATAAAACTTGGTCTGAAGGTAGGCAGTCTGGAGAGCATAGGGCTGCTCCTGGAAGTTGTCTGGGACCCTGAGTCCTATTAACATTCTGCTCCCCTTTCCTCATCTCCAGCTTCTGAATTAAAGACCCCATTATAATCTAATACAGCTATTGGAGTTCCTGCCATCACATCAGTGTTCCAGATAGTAGTTGGGAGGAAATGGGGAAGGAGAAAAAAACCATACTTGCTAGCTGAGTTAGCTTCATATAAGGAGCTACTCTGGAAACCCCACATAACACGTTTGCTTATGTCACACTGGCCAAACTTCACTGCAAATAAGCCTAGAAAATATAGTGTGTTAATTGGATACTTTGCTACTCCAAATAACATCAGGATGGTATAACTGAGGAACAAGAGGGGGTGCATATTGATAAACAAGTAAGAGTCAGTGCCAGATATATGTGTTTTTTGTGGAACTTATTCTACTGTTGCTATAGTTATTGGCATAAGTTTATTTTCCCATATTTCCATTACAGCTCCCACTCTCATACATCACATTATTCTCATCTCTCTGTACCTGCCATCCCATCTAGCAGTGTCTTTTAACCAATAGTTAGTCAGTAAATACTTGCTAAATTTGGATTTAAATGACTCAAACCCATTAGCTTGTTTCATTAGCACTTTATTCTGGCAGATGATAAAATGCTGAAGAAGCCTTGTCTCTTGTGTCCTCTGCACTTCTACAGATATTTTAAAAACAAGAAAAATGAACGTATTCTGCTTAATACTGTATTTTTAGATAACAAATGGACAAATTGCATACTTAACTTTGAATGAAAACCCAATTGAGTTATCAGTGGATTTGAAAGAGAAGTATTATCAATGCAAAACACTGTATACTGTGATTTGTATTAAATAAACAAAAACTTGAAACTTCTGAAGGAATTTGTGAATGAAAGGACATTAGTTACCTTATGAAGTTAAGCACAGGGAAATATCTAATGATCCTTGCTCCTTCAGCTAAATTATATGCAATAAGGAATTTACACTTCTAAAGTATATTTCCTGTTTTACTCAAAACATGTTTTCATTTTACCTAAAAACCTAGCTTTTAAAATGCATAAGAAGGCCAGCCACAGTCGCTCAGGCCTGTAATCCCAGCACTTTGGGAGGCCAAGAGGGGGTGGATCAGTTGAAGTCAGAAGTTTGAGACCAGCCTGGTGAACATGGTGAAACCTTTTCTGTACTAAAAATATAAAACGCTAGCCAGGCGTGGTGGCAGGCACCTGTAATCCCAGCTTCTCAGGAGGCTGAAGCAGGAGAATTGCTTGAATCCGGGAGACAGAGATTGCAGTGAGCTGAGATCGTTCTACTGCACTCCAGCCTGGGTGACAGAGCGAGACTCTGTCTCAAAAAAACAAATTAATAAGTAAAATAAAGCATGTAAGAAAACATTTAATAGAAAATTGTTTACTCTCTTTCCAAATTCTAAATATCATCTCTATGGTTTGTATAACTTTGTAGTAAGTTTCATAAACATAACTTTCCTCTCCATATTCAACTCTTAATGCAAAAATAATACAAACAACTTTTCAACATTTTTAGGAATGTTTCTTGAGGAATCATTCCTAAAAATCAAAATAGCCTATTTAAGTTTTTAAATTGAAGTTAGCCAGTAAGAAAGTCTTTCTTCGGTGTCTTAGTTTCTAAGCTCACTATAGATTTGTGTTTTATGACAATATATAATATGTCTGATTATTACTGACAGCCTTGTGTCATATGCCAAATAGCCTCTAATTTTAATTTTGATATATTTGTGACACACACCTATCAATTCTCTTACAATTTTTTAGAAGACTTGGCAAGATATAAAAATTATATTCCTAGTTCTTGTTATGACAAATTGTGAATTACCAGGAGACAAGAACCGTATACATATACTTTACTGCATCTTCTAAAATATCTAGCTAAGTGCCTTGCATATTTTAGATTTTTATTAAGTACTTATTGAACAAAGTATTTCTTAAGTTTCATGAAGTACTTCTTGAAAGTATAGCAGAATGTTAGGTTAAAATAATGAGATAAGGAACACAGAGGAGGCTTATGTGTACTTTATTCCACTGATATGAATATATTAAACTAAAAATAAATTTATGAAAACTTAGATTTAACCTAGATTAGAACTTTAATTAATTTGGAAGTAACTTTTCTTTGCTCCCTCATCATAAAAAATTATTTTCCTTTATATAAGAACATTTATCATGGTTTCTTTTTATTTGTCTCACTTTTGAAATGGAATTGGATAAGAGATTCGCAAATGACAAAGTTAGAACAAATTCAGTTTAGAGATCTTCATTGGCTTTTGTTTATGATTCTGGAATGAGGCAAAACCCCATTCTATAAAATAGAGTAGGTGTTCCAATTAGCTGAGAAAAGGAGTTTGGTTGTATAGACAGCAAAGGGAAAGCAGAAACAGAAACCAAAAAGCAGATTGGCTGTTTCAAAGTTACTGTCCTTTTAAAGGTTAAAGCAGATGGAACTCCCGTATCATTCAGGTTAAAACTGGCTTGCTTGGGATTTGGCTATTATATCTCTCAATCTTCTGATTTATAAGGTCAGATAAACAACTTAATTTCAGGTTGGTGTCATGGAACTTTAGCATGAGTGACTTCATTTTGGTTTGGTCTATTGGGCCTTGTACAGGAGCTTAGTCCAAAGCAATGGCCTCCTATAAAGTTTATTTAACAAGGTAATGAGACCCTGGTTCTACGTAGTGCTCCAGAATCATGGGCACTTAATCCATTCAACCAAGGAAGCAGACAAGTGCCAGAAATGGCTGAAGAGTCCACATCAAGTTCCTAATCAGGGAGCTAGCTGCAAGGTAGAATCCAGGAACAAACAAGAGACTAGCTGCTGGTGCTTCAAACTCAGTTTTAACAGTAGGGAAGTAAGCCAAGGAGCACATCAAAGAGACTGTGGAGTTTTTTTCTTTTAAATCTCAATATTTACTTTTACATTTAAATGTGATTTAATGGATGATGTAAAAATGTAAAGTAGGCAAAGCTCAAAGTGGGGACTGAAGACAACCAGCTGTACAATAGTCCTTGTTTCCTTTTCTTTTTTTTTTTTTTTTTCTTTTGAGATGGAGTTTCACTCTTGTTGCCCAGGCTGGAGTGCAATGGTGCAATCTTTGCTCAACTCAACCTCCACCTCCCAAGTTCAAGCGATTCTCCTGCCTCAGCCTCCCGAGTAGCTGGGATTTTAGGCATGCGCCACCACACCTGGCTAACTTTGTATTTTTAGTAGAGACTGGGTTTCTCCACGTTGGCCAGGCTGGGCTCGAACCCTGACCCCAGGTGATCCGCCTGCGTCGGCCTCCCAAAGTGCTGGGATTACAGGTGTGTAGTCCTTGTTTCTTACATCAAGAACCAGACCCTATGCTCCTATTAAGAAGAAAATAACTGAATTATATTTTTGTATTAAAAATAATAGAGATGTGAAATTAATGTGTGTCTTTTATCTTTGATATTGCTAATGGGGGAAATAACAGTAATTTAAAACAGTTTTTTTGAATAAAAAACTTAAGACATATATTTGGGGAAAAATAAAATGTTTATGATTCAATATATATAAATATCCAAATACATAAATACATGATAGGTGATCATTTCTTTGGGAAAAAAAGACAAGCAGATTAAATTTCTTAAATATAATTCAGATAGCAGTTTTGAAATTTACTGTTCATCTCATACTTAATTTTATTATTTCTGAAATAAGAAATTAGTGTTACTATGATGCCAAATCAGGTGTTATTTTTAAGTGTTTTTTCCAACATGCACTCAATGATGTTATATAATTATGTTCAGATCAACAGATATATACCCAGTCCCTCTAACCATAGGCTATTGTGTGTGATTCTGCAAAGAATGATAAAATGAGAAAGATATAGCTACTGTTCTTGAGGATATTAAAATATAGTATGTTGAATAGAAAAATAACACAAAAATAGTGTAGTAGGATGGTTAAAATAGCAAACTGACAGAAGTTTGTATATCTCATGGTGATGGCTAAAGGGGATAATCTGTCTAAGGGGAGAAGGGATTTAATAATATTTCATGCTATTGTATTTGAATTTTTCCCATTCTGTTATGTTCTTTTAGTAACACCCTATACACTCCTTCCAGTCTGTTTTCTCTAAACCTCCCTTTTGTCTTCTTACTGGAACATCTTGCACCTCCTTCTAAGCCATCCATATGACCTTTAGTCATCCTAAATTCGAAGATCCATTATTAAATTCTCTTAGCCGTATTTCTAGACACCAACGCTTCCTCCCAAGTAGTAGATATCTTTCTTTTATGTTAATCCTCTGTAACCCTCCAAATAAGCTCAATTATGACACAGCATTGGAATGATTTCTTATGTGTTTCTCTAATAGACTGTAATTAATCTGAAGGCAAGAATGACGTTTTATTTATCTCTGAATCTGATTTTTCAATAAATCTCACCAAATGGAGAGGATAACTAGAAAATTGAGTTCTTTAAAGATATTGGGAATAGGACAAAATGCTACCTCAGTAAAAGTGACTTAATTTTATAAATAAAACGGGATTAAGAAGGAGATGAAATAGTCTCAGAAGCAAAATAGTCAGAACCAGAATTGTGCTGGTAAACATTTAATAGTAAATCTTTGCAAAGGAAACAAACAAACAAAATGATTTGTAGACTTTGTAAATTTCTATGTTGTTATTGTTGCACCATGGCCAATTTCAAGCTACCAAGTCGTGTCTCTGAACTTGGAGTTGGGAAAAGATGAGCCCAATCAGCTCTTGTAAGCTAGTGCAAGGCAACTCCAGTGAAGAACTCACGAAGAACTAGAAAATTGTTTGTCCCTTGTAGTATCCCACTGTGGTTTTCACGATCTGATACTGAAATATGTATACACAAAATTGATTTAATTCTTTCTGATAATTTCTTTCGTCTTCACCACATATATACCACAGAGATGTACTTTTTAAAAATGACCAAATCAAGAGCAAAATTATTAATTTCAAAAAATTTACAAAATGTTAGAATTTGACTTACAGAAAATTGTATACATATAGTTAAAACAGCTGTATAAAACTACTTAATATGAATATTTTCTTTAAAATTATTACATTTTAATATTGTAAAATATTATAAATGAAGTATAAATATTTCACTAAGAAGCTTTATGGATTTCTTTAGGAATTTTTTAGTTTCACTATGAAGAAAATATACCAAGTTAAAACAGTCTTGTAAGCAATAATTATTGCCTATTTAAAATAAGAAATGAAGGATATATAATGAATATATTAGTAAATAAAGTAATATGTGCCATTTCGGGTTGAAAAGTAACTGTGAATTCAACCAGTAAATTATTTTTAAAATACTGTCAAGTTCTGTTCATGTATTATATGAATGCTGACTGTACATAATTTTATTCTTTTTTAATGTTTGAATTAATGACACTATTAATATCTTACAGTTAACATCTAGCAGAAGCAGATATGAGCTAATTTGTATTTTCCTGTCATATAAAATCTGAAGTCTTCTTCAGTAATGTTAATTTTATCTTGTCATTTTAGATCTTTTACAGCACTTAATATCATAATTGTAAAAATATTGTTCCTTATTAATATTTGAACAAATAACAAAAAGTAAATCCAATAATACTATTTATAATTTATTAGGACATAGAACAATCATTTTGAATAAGCTGTTATTAATTAGTTTATGATAATAATACTAGTAAAAAATTTCAGACTTTCAATGTATGAAAAATACTCAGTTTAAACAAATAGAAATGTTCTATATCATTAAGGAACCAAATAGTCTAGTGATTAAAAATACAGGTTTTAGAAATAGATCTAAGTTGAATCTATGCTCTGTTTCTTGTTATGGGACTACAGGTAAGTTTTTTAATTTATGTAATCTCTCACTTATGAGTTAGTTTGATGCTGAGGTTACAAAAACAAATACGGCCAACAAAGTCTCTGTATGCATGAAGCTTTCTGTTTTTTGGCATATACAGGGAGCAAACAAATACTCATAGTGTGGTAATAGAGAAGTAATAGAGAACTGCAGGAATAAAGAGTAAGTTATACTTAATCTATTCTCAGAATCAGAAAGCCCTCCTGAGAAAAGTGGTATTTAAGCTGAGACTTGAAGGAAAAATAAAAATTAGCTGGATAAATGTGAATATTTGAAATGACAATACCAAATAAATTTACAGGGCTCTCTAAAATTAAATTAAAATGCCACATATAAATCCCTTAACAGTCACTGATAGATGCTGAATAAACGGTAGATGATGCTGTCGTTACTAACTATGGTTTGATTCTCTATTAGACTCCCTACCCTCACACTTGTATGGTACTTTTTGGATTTATTTATGATAGAAATAGTCTAATTGTGCTCACACTGACTGCAAAAGTACTAAAAACACAATGAGACCAACAATATTATCTTATTTATCTTTGTGTCTTCATCTGATCACACTGCTTGGAATTTAAACAGGTGTTCTTTAAGTCTTCCTTAGCAAATAAATACATGA
Source organism: Homo sapiens (assembly GCF_000001405.40). NCBI lineage: Eukaryota > Metazoa > Chordata > Mammalia > Primates > Hominidae > Homo > Homo sapiens. The sequence goes on from NC_000004.12 coordinate 90,761,391, forward strand.
ATGAATAGGGAAAATACAGCTTTTAACCATTAATACAGAAGTAAAGTTTTGTGACTAGATGAAGTATTGTTCAGTAAATAAAATACAGGTTTGCTCCCACTTGTCCTAGTCATTTGGCCTCCGAGTTATAGGATGGATATGTATAAATTCGATTATTTATTCAACTATCCATATGCCAGTGTCGGCAATATATTAATTTCAAATGGTAACACAGCAATGCACTGATTTAGTCTGTTGGATCTGAGTAAGTGTAATTTTTAGGAGTTCATATCTATAAACATTACCCCAAATTGGGATTGAATTGGAAAATAATCTGACACAAAGCTTCCCTAAAGGCAGTGCTTTGGGTTAGGCGTTCATTAAATAACTGAATTTAAATGGTGAATGGACTCTTTTTCCTTCTGGATCGTTGTAAGAATAGCAGATTTGAGATGAAGTGAATTTCAAAGTGTTGCAAATGGCCAAAGTGAGAAGAGATGGCTCACACCAAGAGCATCAGCTGATTTCTGTAGCCATTTCTTAAGGAGGCTGACAAATTAACTTGAGAATAATCAAGAAAGGTCAAATTATGATCATCTGATTATTTTAAAAGGTTAAGGAAATATAAAAACATATAAAGAAAGTAATTTCAGAAACTACCAACATATGAAAAGCTTTAACATTTTAGAAGACTGATATGATTTGGCTGTGTCCCTACCCAAATGTTGTCTTGAATTGTAGTTCCCATAATCCACACATGTCGTGGGAAGGACCCGACAGGAGGTAATTGAATCATAGGGGTGGTTACCTCCATGCTGTTCTTGTGATAGTAAGTGAGTTCTCATGAGACTGATGGTTTTATAAGGGGCTTTTCTCCCTTCTATTTGACACTTCTCCTTGCTGCTGCCATGTGAAGAAGTACGTGTTTGCTTCCCCTTTCACCATGATCATAAGTTTTCTGAGGCTTCCCAGCCCTGCTGAATTGTGAGTCAATTAAACCTGTTTATAAATTACTCAGTCTTGGGTATGTCTTTATCAGCAGCATGAGGACAAACTAATACAGAGACAAACTTAAGTTATATGTGTTACTTGTTGGTTCTCCTTAGTTGAATCACTATTTTTGCACATCCAGGACTGCCTTCTCTCTGTCTTCTTAGTATCATCTCTTGCACTACCAACCAAAACAGTTCTCTACAGCGTAGCCATAGTTATCACTTACAAATAAAACTTTGATTATGCATCACCTCTGTAAACTGTTTATGGCTTCTAATAATAGCACTTAGATAAAAGCCCCAAATCCTTTTTGTTATTTCACACAAAAATAACCATACCAATTTTTGTTTGATATGAAAAAATACATGTAGTGGGCTGAAAATGGTTCTCCCAAATTATCATGCCTTAATCCGGGAGCCTGTGTATGTTACCTTACTTGAAAAAGGGATTCTTTGCAGATGTGACCAAATTAAATATCTTGAGATGGGGAGATTATCCCAGTGTATGTGGGTGGGTCCTAAATGCAACCACAAGTAAGAGAGAGACAGAGAGAGATTTGACAGAGGCAGCAGAAGAGGAGACAGTGTGACAATGGAAGCAGAGATTGAGTGATGCAGTGAGGAGCCAAGGAATATGAGCAGTGATCAGAACCTCAAGGAGGCAAGAAACAGACTGCTGTAAATGGTCAAAGTGAGAAGAGATGGCTTACACCAAGAGAAGACATTAAAGCAGCAGCTGATTTCTGTCATCATTTCTTGTACTACCAACCAAAACAACTCTCTATAGTGAGAATTGTCATAATTTTCCTTGTGAATTTGCATATTTTCATAATACAAGCTAGGGAACCCACTACCAGAGAAAGGGGCTTAGTTCCACCTATTGAGTACCTTAAATCATGGAGGACTCATGGGTGGAGAGAGGTCAAGCAGTAGACTACTAATCTTACACAGCCTGGAAGATTTGGGAGGAGAGCCATTTGTCCCTGGTGCTTCCTGCAGATTCCACTATTTTTAGGAGCCAGTGAAGCAAACAGATGCACTGAAAAACAATATTAAAATTGTTTCAATGTTCTTTCAATTGAATTTTAACTCCAAGTACTCATCCTTTAGTGATGGTAGGAAGTATAACTTCAGTTATTTGTGAGTTATCTCAACCACAGAGTTTTGTCAGTGTCTTGATATTTTACAAACAATGTATCCATTGGAAAGTCCCATCGAGATGTTGGTAATCAGTTCACAGAGCACATCAACCATTTAAGTCCCATGGCTCTGCCCGTTTATGTCCCACAGTTCTGCCCATTTCATGCCGTGCTAGAGATGTAAGCACTTTGGGAAGAACTAGAAACTCCTCTGCCTAGGATCTAGCTCATTAAGTCAAGAGTGAACAAGGTAGCTCTTCCTCACTGAGTCTTTGCCCTCTCCCCAGATGATGCCAGGAACAAGCACTAGGTCTCCTTCATTCATTGAACCAATACACTTCTTCTCCTATCTACTTTAGGAATTTTTCCTCATTTCCTGGTCATCCATTTCTCAAATGTTTTCTTATAACTTTCCGGTGTCCTCTGCATTAGCTTTTAAAATGTTTATGATTTTATAAAGAGCTTCTAATTTCACATTGATTATTTCAATTAAACCTAATTCCTTGCTTAAAATGAGAGGAAAGAAGGAAAACATATCAGGAAAAACAGATATTTCAACAGTTCACTAAGTTATATTGACTCACCAGGTTGTGTTCTCCTGTAATGTGTTTCTCCTACCACTTCATCCTCTTTTTCTGAACACCCAATATACTTCTAGAACTTGTGCCAAGTCTTCCCTTCGAGGTAGATTGTAAAAATCAATGAGAGCAAGCTTGCACTTAACACATGATTATTTAATAAAAAAAAGAGAAGTACTTCAGGAGATGATACCACCAAACAGAATGTGTTTTATTTGTTTGTTTTTAACAGAATTAGTTTTGACTGATAGAGTATAAGTAGAACTATAATCCATGAAGCCATTCATCTGCTATACAGAAAAATCAATGCTTGGTCTTTAAATATAAACATCGTCTTCAATAATAAGACTGAATTTATGGAATGCACAAATAATACTGATTAATTTTTCTTAGGTGTTTTATACCTACAGAGACATCAATTGTCACCCAATAATGGTGGTTTTTGGAGTATAGGCTGCATGGATCATAATGGCAAACCTTATTTAAACAGAAAGAAGAGCAGAATATCAGTCATAATGTTTTCTCTGTAAGAACTGAAAAATTGAAGTAAATATATGAATCTTAAAATATCAATTGTAATATTGGCTTTTGCAACTCAGGCAATTATAAGATATAGGACATTTTAAAGACTAATGAAGAAAATTGTATTTAATTTATTCTAAGTTTTAAAAACTTTATTTTTCTCAACTAGAGAATTAGTTGAAAGCTCCCAACCCATGATTTCCTAAAAAAGTCACATCTAACTTAGATATTGGTAGCAGTTCATGCTCTTTTTACCGCTGGCTTGTGTCCCTTCCAAACACTTTAATGGTATTTTACTGTTAAACAATATATATTTCTCACCACTTGAAAAACTAATTCAAAATAATATTTCTTTATTCTATGAGGTCTCTCACTATTGTCATTCTCCTTTTGTGGCCTATGCTCATTTCTTTTCCCCAATGAAAAGTAGAGAAAAAAAATCATGACAACCTTGTGTGTCTGCAAGTCTCTGTAAAATGCCTCCATCCAAGTTTCCTTCCAATCAGGAACATAATTCTTAGCAAATAGGTCGCTAACTCACTTAATTAACTCTCTGCTATGTCCTTAGAGGAGTTTCTATTATCAAACTTGAATTGGAATAACATTTAACAAGCTGTACAAGGCCTTTGGGAAACCTGTTTTTCACAAAAATGGCTTCTTAAATGGGCTTTGATCTCCTTAAAGGATTCTGAATTACTGCATAAAATCCTAATGCACTTATTAACGATGCATATATATGCAGATTTTAAACAGAGTGAAAGATAAATTTCTTTTCTGCCTCCTTGGGGAGCATCCTAATATGGATTTTCTTTAAACATTTCTTGACCTATTGAACATTTGATAAACAGGTATTTTACCCAAAGCTCCCTCCAGATCTTTGACAATTAAGAAATAACATAAAAACCTATTTAGGATTGCATCGTACTCTTCTCTGTTAGTATTTGGGATAGAGATTTGAAGGAGAGTGATCCTGTTTTCCATTTTTCGTCTCATATAATTTTTTTTAATGCTTACTCTTTGTCAGTCACTCCACTATAGACAGGGTTGCAAAGTCAATTAAGCTATGGTTTCTTTGTTTCAGGAAACTGCAGACTAGTGAAAAGTGGAGCAGAAGAGAAAAAAATAAACAAAGAAAATATACAATGATAGGCCAGACTGATACATTGATAAGGCTTATAATAGATTTTTACCTAGATACAAGAGTCAGACATCTAATTTAGACCAAGAGAGGATAATATTGTGAGTTGAATTTTGCAGAATGAGTCATATGTTACTGAATAGGAGAAGGCTATCCTGAGCAGAAAGATGGATATATGGAGGTAAGCATGACCTGTTTGAGAATTTTTAAGAAATTTATGACTGTCAGCTGTATGGGTTCCTCTGAGGGTTGGTGGTTGACACCAAAGAGGTTAGCAGGAACATTAAAGGCATTGTAGGAAAAAAAAGGGAAAATGTGTGTGTGTGTATGTGTCTGTGTGTGTGTCTGTAATTAAGTAACCTAGAGAGGAAATTTTAGAGCATAAATTTTTAGAAATTTGGGGACTTGTCATATGCCAAAATCTAGACAAAGCAATCAGTGCCTATCAACCAGCCTACTTATATTTGAACATAGCAGATGAGTCTTCCTAGTGCAGATGAAAATATTTTCTATGTGTGAAAATAACTTCCTGAAAGTTGTGTCCACATAATTTCCCAAGTTCATATATAACGTTCTTTATGCAGAAATTTTATTTACAACTGAATTCTTGAGGATCACGCCTACTAAGTAACACCAGGTGCAACTAAATAAAGAGAAGTAAAATATCTGAATGCTCACCCAGAAAGCGATCAATCTATTTCATTTTAATATATTATTTATATTTAGTGAATATACAAAGAATATGTCACAAATCATTGGCCAGGCCTGGTGAATGTGGACCTATAGTCTCAACTACTCAGGAGGCTGAGGCAGGAGAATTGCCAGAGCCCAGAAGTTCCAGGCTGCAGTGAGCTATGATCATGCCACTGCTGGGTGACAAAGCAAGAACCTGTTTCTAAAAAATAAAAAAATATATATATAAGCAAAATTACCTTGTCATTATGTGATGCCATCTGGTATTGAAATTGAATTTTATTCACACACATAATTTAATACAGTTTTTTAAAAATTTCTGGATTCCTTCTCTATATTCACACATTTTGGCAATAACTCATACATATTTTCTCTCCATTGATACAGAAGTAGGGACACTGTAAAGATATAAAACATATATGACATCTAAGAACCCTTAATATTTGTTCACTAGAGCTCATACGAGATGTGATCTATACTCTGTAGTTTGGAGAGCTAAAGCAATTCATAACTACTTTAGCACTCAGTTCAATTTAAGATGAATTGCCTGTCTTATGTGAATGTACTACTGAGCAAGCTGAATGTCACTTATCTGATGAAAGAACAGTGCCCAGCTATCTCACATACACCCTGTGTATCATTCAAACTTGGAAACATTTATATCATAGTCATTATCTTAAAATCACAGTGTTTGCCAACAAAGCCTTCCGGCTTGATTCCATAGAAGGACATTTAAAAAAAGATATGGCATAACAGATTCATTGTCCTGCTTGTATGTGTTTCTAAGTTTGTTCTTTTTTTTAGGTAAAATAAAGAATTTAGCAGTAGTGCAACCATTCACAGTTCTAAAAGAAGCAAGTGCAAATGTAGAGCAATTTTTTTTTTCATGAAAGGCAGCATAATGTGACTGCACTTACACTTTGGATTTGCAATTTCACTGATGATCTAAATAATGCCATTGGTTTAAACAGTTAGTTGCTCTACTTTGAAAATTACCTTTGACCTTTTTCTCACTAGATATCAATTGAATTCCAGGTTGCACATACTGAACTAAACGAGGTAATTGCTCTGGCCTTGTGAACTTAAAAGGCAACTTCTTTGTGAATGTATTTGTTGGTATCATTAACTGGATCTAAGAAAATATAATTTTTATAAAGTTAGATCATTCATATCTAAGTTGCCTTTTATTCATGTGGCTTAGTAAAAGTTAATTGTACTTTCAAAGTACCAAGGCAAATAAACAGGGTAATTTTTTTTTAAAGGGTCTCGTTCTCGCTCTGTCACCCAGGCTGGAGTGCAGTGGTGCTATCTCAGTTTGCTCCATCTCCAGGGCTCAAGAAATTCTCCCACGTCAGCCTCCTGAGTAGCTGGAACTACAGGTGTGTGCCACCATGCCTGGCTTATTTTTGTATTTTTTTGCCATGTTGCCCAGGCTGGTGTCGAACTTCTGGGCTCAAGAGATCCACACACCTGGGCCTCCCAAAGTGTTGGGAGTATAGGCATGGGCCACCATGCCTGACCAAACAAGGAAGTTCTAATAGGTGTCTGTGGTAGGCTCTAAGATTGCCCCAGTGATTCTCCCTTCTCAGTGTTCATGATCTTGTATAATTCCTCCCCTGTTGACTTGCTCCACATGAATAGAATATGGAAGAAATAAGTTGTCACTTTCATGATTAGTTTACAAACAACTGTGGCATTTGTCTTGGGTGCTCTAACTCACCCTCCCTTGGTTCACTCACTTTGGGAGAAGCCAGTACTGTGTCATAAGGTCACCCTGTGGAGAGGTCCAAATGACTACTTGGAAACAGGTTTTCTGAAGCCTGCCAACGACCTTGTGAGTAAGTAGATGCAATCTTTGAGTCAAGCTTTGGGATGATTATACACCTAGCCAGGAGTTAGAATCCAACATCATGAGATACTGAGCTGGAGGCACCAACATAAGCTAGGCCTAATTTCTGACCCACAGAAACTGTGAAATAATTGAAACTTATTCCATGCTGCTGAGTTTTGTGATAATTTGTTAAATAACAACAGATACCTATATAGATTTTTATTCTGAGTGTAGGATGCTGCTGTAATAAGTCTAAAATATGAAGGTAACTTTGGATCTGGTCAGCAGATTTCAAGGAGAATGTTAGTGAAAGTGGAAAGTGCCTTGACGGAGCTATTGTTACATGTCTCATAGTTTTCAATAAGGCTGTAGGTTAGGACTTTCAGAAGATTTAAATAAATGGTATTGGAAACTGGAGGAAAGATAATCCTTGTTATATAGTATCAGAAAGTTTAACAACAACATTGATTAAAGTAAGGCAGAAAATAGAAAATGTGCCTAAAAGACTGGACGATTTGCCTAAGGAGATGTCTTAGCAAAGAGTTGAAGGTGCTGTCTCGTTTTCTCTAGCAGTACATCTATAGAGTGGGGAGATAAATTAAAGGAAGGATTGTTAACCAAAGAGGAGCCAGTACTTGTGATGGCTTTGAAAATTCTCAGCCTCTCTAGAAATCAAATAATGCTAAATTTAAGAAATGGCTTCAATCAAAGATCAAATTCAGAGTACTTCCAGGAAAATGTAGTCCAAAAATGAAAGTGAGGGTATACATAAAATCTTTTGTCAAGACCTCAGAAAGATTAAAGCTGGTGACTCAGAAAGCCCTTAAAGAGATTAAGAGCATACCCTCTGTGTCCTCTGAAACATTATTATAGCTTCTAGAAAGTTTAAAGACATTATTGCTCATCCATAGAAGTAGGAGCTCAAGATAGAGAAGGGCTTATCTCAAGAGATTTTTGAATGTGGCTTTTGTCAAATGATATAAACCCCAAGAAACTTCACAGGAGACCCATGAAGTTCTTAAGTTATAGATGCAGAAACATTTTCAGCTTGAACAAAGTGGGGAACAGAGACAGTTTAGAATTAGAAGAAACCGTTTGGGCTCTCAGAATTATGCTGATAGGGAGTAGACTGAGAGAGCTGCTCAACTGAATGATGACTCAGAGGGCAGAACCAGACCCCAGCAGTTAAAGCCAAGAGCCATGGAGAATTATACAAAGTCTTTTGACCTTATTAAGTAACTTCCAGTAATTGCATAATTGGACTTCAGAATTGTTATAGGCCAGTGGCTTTTTTGTACCTGCCATTCCCCCCTTTCTGAACAGAAATGTTTAAAGCAGTTACCCTCTATCTGTATCATTATTATCTGTTGTGTATTTGGGAAACCAGTATCTACCAGTTTTCAGACGAAGAGGGATTATATTCAAGGATATGTATTTATGGAACTAGACCTGAAGTGTCTACACCATGGCTGAACCTGATTCAGATGACAAGATTATTTAATTTGAGTAGGTACTACAGTAGTATCAAACTTTTGACGTTGGTGGAAGTGGGTGAGTATATTTTACATGTAAAAGGAATGTTAACTGGATGTTAATTAGAGGCCAATACGCAGAGTATAGTGATCCTCAATTATCCCTACCACCTGGTATTCAGGCCCTCATATAATCCCCATTTTTTGAGTGAAGGCTATGTTTATTAGCTTCTAACAAATATGATACAACGGAACTGATGGAAAGCTACTGCTGAGACTAGGTTTTGAAGAGGCTGTGGGGCCCATTTGTGAGGCTCTGGCTCACTCTCCCTTGGATCCCTTGTCCTGGGAATGCTTCCATGTCATGAGGAACCCAACAGTGAGACCTTCATGAGTGAATTTAGAAAATGATCCATCAGTTCCAGTGGATCTGTAGCTGAGAAGACCATAGCCCTGGCCTACAGCATGATTACAACCAGAAGAGACCTTTAGTTACAAGACCCAGCTAAGCCATACCCAAATTCCTGACTCACAGAAACTGTGTGAGATGATAAATACTTGTTCCATTTAATGTTCTATGCAGCCATAGATAACTAATACAGCACTCAATAAATGTTTGCTACCAAATATTATGCGAATGGAAGGTTAAACTGTAAATAAAGTGAGAAAAATTAGGGCATATAAATATTAACATTTTGAGACTGGGACATGGGTCATCCAAGTCAATATTTCAATAATAACATATAGAAAATAATGAGTTATTGAACAAGATTTTAAGTATCTTAATATTGTGTTCAAATGTTAGGGGAAAATCCCAGAGCAAGTAACATCTCTTATGTTAACTATTATTTCCTTGCTATCCTTTAGTGTATTCAGTGGTTACCATGTATTATGCCATCATTGTATTCCTTTTTCTTTCTGTCATTCTATTTCCCTCTACTGACTTTTTTTATGCCAAATCTCTTTCACTAGCACTCTCTCTCACTACAATGCTTCATTATTTCTTTGTCTTTCATGAGATTTTGTTTTCTGTCTCACACATGTACACACAAAAGCACAACCACATGCAAATAACTAAAATCATTGAGTTACTTATATAGTAAAAATTATAGGAGCCAAATAAAATTTCTTGCTCAATAGTTTACTAAGTCTGAATAGAACAAATCATTTTAACAATAATGCAAAGGAAATCTATCACCTAAGTTGGAAGAAAAAACAGTTGTGATTTTTAATTTGTTTCACAAGAAAAAAATTACTAGAGGTGAGTAGTTTTTTAATCATTCAGGAACTCATGATTATCCTCCAAGTACAGAATATCTGTTTGCATGGGATTGCTTTTGCTATCATAAATATAGCTATGGAATTTAATGCATTGTTGGCTATTCACCCTTTTATATAGCTATGATTTTAAAGTGCCTACACTCTGCGAATATTTACATAAATTATCATAATTAACCTTCTGTGGCTTTTATCTTTATAATGAAATATCCCTTCATTCGAAATAAAATATGAAATATTATTTTTCATTTCTAATGATACTTTGCTTATAAAATATATTATTCTAAGATTGTTAGTTTGATTTATTGGATTTATTCGATAATTATCTTTTTTTAGACAATATTATTGAGGGACCACTTTTTAAAATTCAGAAATAGATGTTCTTAAAATGTATTGACCCATTTATATCACCTTATAGATTTATACTTGAATTGGTAGATATAAATATCTACTATTTGTACATCCCACTATTTCTTTTCTTTTAGCTAGAAAGGTATAACGTTAAAACCCTTTTACCAAATAAAATGATTTTATTTAGAAAATGCCGGGCACTAAAAAAAAAAAAAAAAAGAAAAGAAAAAAATGCATATTTTTGTAGAAAGTGAGATACTATTTTTATTACAAACAACTTTAAAATATTTTATATTGAGCCATAATGCATGAGGTGGCTTAATTTGTAAATTTTCAATTTTGAAGCTATTTCATAGATCTTGATATTGGCATGGGAAATTGGCTTTCTTTTTGAACCTCAGTGGATACTACTTGTTTTTCTTCTTAAACACAGCTTTGTGTGGTGTATCCTCTGGTTTCCTGTTACTATTTCTCCAATATTTTGACTTAAATTTGTTTCATGCAGTAATTCTTAGGTGTCATTACCACTGGCACTTGGTAGGAGCTAAAACATATAGCCAGTATAAATTTTGTCTATATGGATACTCGAGTTTTGATCTTTGTTTAAATCCCAGGTGCTGCCAGACTAAAACAAGAAATTATGCAATTCTCCTCATATAACCAGCTTTAGTTCTATAGTGACTTTTCACCCTGAGAAAATTTGATCTAAGGCAAGAAAGCCACTAACATTTGTGTTATTCAATAAAAAAGGAAATAATTTTTCAGAAAGCATGTAAGATATACATAAGATATCAAATTATAAACACACTCCCTTATTTCTTAGAGAAGTTCCTATCATATTGTTATTCAAAGATAATGTTTTACTGAGATAGGGAATAATATGATTAGAGTTTTGTGTTTGAATCAATATATTATGACAATCATGTCATAAATGTCTGAGAGAAAATATATGACAAACTTCAGGTTAATTACTATATATTATAAAAATTGAGACCAGTTTTTGAGAGGTGATGAGTGAGAGACATAATAAATTTATACTCATTATTTATTGATTACTGTTCTATATATTCTAACAGATAAAATTTCTCACAGAAAATGTCAGGTATAACTTACAGTCACTACTGGAACAAAATGCAAATATTTCAGTGTCATTCGAAAAACTAACAAGGAATTATAAGTTTCTTATAATATATCAGTCAATCACCAGACTCCTTTCATACTTGGAAATGTTTCCATGCATGGGCTTAAGTTAATGTAGAATTCAAACATTTGAGTTCTGTTGTAGCAGATAAAATGAAGCCTCAAATCATTCTCTAATCTGAAGTACATCCTGGCAGAACTACTGTGACTTGTCTGTTAAAATTGATTTCCTCTTAAAGAAAAATAGGCTTTTCTTATTGTGTCAAAAAATGATATTATCTATTATGTGTCTTTTCTTGTGACAATCCTTACCTTTTATGTCCCAGAAGGAAAAAATATTGTTTTTCCTCCTAAGTTTTTATATCCTATTTTACTCTAATGAATAATCTGTGTTGCACACGAAATGAAATATATTCCAAAAAGAGTAAAGAGCAATGTTTAAAAATGAGTGTAGAGGCCAGGCATGTTGGCTTATGCCTGTAATCCTAGCACTTTGGGATGCCAAGGCGGGCGGATCACCTGAGGTCGGGAGTTCGAGACCAGCCTGACCAACGTGGAGAAACCCCATGTCTACTAAAAATACAAAATTAGCCAGGCATGGTGGTGCATGCCCTTAATCCTAGCTACTCAGGGGGCTGAGGAAGGAGAATTGCTTGAACCCAGGAGATGGAGGTTGCGGTTAGCCGAGTTCACGCCTTTGCACTTCAGCCTGGGAAACAAGAGCGAAACTCTGTCTCAAAAATGAATATAGAATGGGCAGACATTTGTAATACTACTGATTGCCCTTACCTTAATTCACATCATCTCTATTGTTTGACTTTATAATGCTTTTTGATTGGCAGCCTTGAAAGATGAATCGACACATCAGAATTTTACAATGTAACTTTGAAGACTGCTAGGGAACCTTAGGCAAGCAACTTCCTTTAGGACACTAAAAATGCTTGATGGGGTTTGGAACTGAGGTGCTTTGTGTTAGCTATTATTGTTAGTGATGATGGTTAGGTTTGTGATTATTTTGTTTAATAAGACTACTCAGGAATAAAAAGCTACCTTCAAATACCTTCCCACCTCCTCTCCAGTATTTTTTAAGATTAGACTTTATCCACCCTAAATTACATCTATATTGAATGGAAAACCAGGTGTTGGTATTTTCTGCACTAGTGGCTTAATGATAGTTTATTGAACTGTAATGCTTTGTAATTAGAATATTTCTAGTAAAAACAAAATGGGAGAGCCCAGAAATTGTAGTTCCCATCCAAAATTACAATAACATTATTTCTGTAATAGCAGAAGAGAAATTAGAATGTCTTGAGGTAATAGCTCACATATTTAGAAGAAGAAATTTAAATATTGAAAGAACATACTCAAAAAAGGAGACGTTAGATCGGGTATTCAGAAACTTCAGCATGCTGTCAATAGATATAAAAATGCAATGACATTCATTTTTTGATCAATGAAATGAGAATTGTGCTGGCTAAACACTACATAAGATACGATAAAATAAAAGTTGGTAAGTTATAAATACTGTAAGTGCCTTGGGAGTGAGATATAAGGGCACATCATTTTTATTTAATTTCTAGTTAGTCTATGAGATTGAACTCTCAGTACTTATTTAAGGCCAGAAATTTAATTACAAAATAACTATAAGGTTACATTTTGATCTCAGGTTAAAAGAATAATATTAGAAGCATTAAAAATATTTTTGTGTTAATCAGCGTTTAGGAAAACAGCATGGTAAATTCCTGTGAAATTGATTTATACTTTCTTCATTTACCTCTAATATGAAATATATTTTATGTTTAGATTTGCTTCCTTAGGATTGTGACTTGATTTTTCTCTTTGCTCAAAATTATCTGTGGGTGTATTATTCTTTGGGGATAGTGATGGTTAAGAAATGCTATTTGAAGCCTCACACTATTAGAAGAGTTAGTTACTAACATTTTCATGATAATATAATGAGTCATAGAAAATTTGCATTGAGATTTATTGAATAAACTTGACATATTTAAACTGTTTGCCATAATTATGAGCCTAGTACCTGTATGCCACAACAGTATTTTAAAGTACTGTACTTTGCACCTTCTTCACTAAGAATTGATCTGATAAATCCCTTTTTGCTAGATTGTGTCATGTCCATCTTTTTAATACCTTCCTTGTTCATTATTAAGTGCTGTTAGCCATACTGTCTAATGAAAGGTACATAATATCAACTCTGATTACTGCTGTAATGTTTTCCAGGCATGCTTGGTGATGAGCCTGGCATATGAAACAATTTCCTACAGTAATAAAACTAATTAAAGTAGGCAGTCATCCACACAACACTTCCTAATGAATTATAATAAGCTCATTAATCTCATCTGTTCTTATTCCAAAAAGACCACTAATAGGACCTGTAGGTAAGAGTACAATCCTCAGCCTTAAAAATGGACAGCTATCATGAAGTCAGACTTAAGGATTTAAGTTAAAAAATTACAAATTGCTAATCAATGTTGTAAATGAAATGTGTAACGTCTAAACTCTGCTCAGATTATTTATTGACAAGATCCTTTTCTATTTGAGTTCTCCTATAATTGATTTAACAAAGGAAAAAAATGATTCATTGTAACATAATGACTCTTCACCACCTCAAAGATTACAATTGAATTAACCCTCTCACATATCCTCCTATATAGACCATATAAGAATCATGAATTGAGTACTTGAGATCAAGTGATAAAAATATAGCCTGTTTTCTCTCCACAGAGGGCTGGAGTATCTTCTTAAAATGTCAAAGTATAATAATAATTATTCTTTTGTTAACTCTTCTACAGCTTTGTGAGGTGCCTGATCAAACAATGTAACTAATTATTATTCCATTCAGGTACAGATAGTTTGGTAACATAGATGTATTGTTCTAGAAACAGTTTTACAGTAAAAGAGATAAGGTTGTAAAATATAAAACATGGAGAGACGATTTTTGAACTACAAATGTGAATAGTAAGAAAAGATCACTTTAAGGGGAATTTTGTTTTATCTTCATTGTAAGTTGATGTTTTTTAAATGCAGCAGTTTCTGTTCTAAAGCTGATTACTACTGTGCCACATGTATGGACTTCTTTCCTTAGAAGTGACTTATAAATATGTAGATTTCACAATTAATGCAGAATAATGATAATGGGTTAATCGTAAATAGGAAGGTACATTTTTCACTTATGGAATGATCATGTTCAAAATTGTTATCCACATTTATAAATTTTTAGCTAATATTTCATATTCTTTGTGGAGTAAGAGATTGGATATTTGGCACAGAGGATTTTCTTTTGTAAAACAGATATTTAAAAATACGACCACTTTGGTAGGTAGAGGTTTTCCTTAGCCTATCACTGAGGAAAATGTCTCCCAATCTAGAATCAACTATCTAGTTGCCATGTGTGTGAAGGAGAGTTGGTTCTGTGCTATGAACAATTAGGAGGCCTGACTTTGGCAAAGACTTCTCCATCATCTAGTTGTACGGCCTTGAGACAGCAGCTTACACAGCATGCAATGCATCTGTCTTTATAAAATGAGGGGGTTAGGCTAGAGCAGTGTATCCCCAAATATGGAAAGTACCAGATAGTAAATTTTATGTTTTCAATAATTCTTGGATACAACAGTAAAACAATTGTACTGTATGAGGTAATGCAATTCCTCTTTTAAATTCCAATTCAATTCTCCTGAAATCAAGGAGGTAAGTTTTGTGCTGTAAGTCTGTAATACACTGGCAAATCTTACTTTTTGTTTTGACAAAGCAGGTAGATCACCTCATAGTTACTAAAAGACAAGGGAGATGTGTTGCTGAACAGAATAATTTTGAATTTAAGTCTTTTGGTTAAAAGAAGAAAATTTCTTGAAAGTTATCTCAAAGATAATAGAAGATTACACAAAAGTCTTAAGAAAATGTTCACAGCTCAAACTGACCTTGTTTTGAACACAAATCCTTATTTGAGAAAGTCTTGCTCCAATTAGTAGACTTAATTAATGTCACCTATTAAGGTAAGCTAGCTATCTATTGAATAAACTTTGGTAATAGACTTTAATGTTAATAGGAAACATGACTTATCATCATAATATCCAACATTTGTTTAATGCTTAACAACTAATGTTTGTTAAATGCTTGGAAGTCAGGTACTCCTAAATTATTTACATGTATTAACACGTTAGTGTTCACCATATAGGTTAATGTTTACAACAACCTTATTAAATAAGCACTAATATTTTCCCCATTTTACAAATGAGGAAACTGAAGTGCCAAGAGATTTGAGCAATTTGAGAAAGGTCAAACAGCTGGTAAATGACAAAGTTTTAAAAATTCTGTAAGTACCCAATACTCTATGCATTTCTCTCTCTTATTGTTTCCTATCTCACCATCCCCAGTAATCCTTAGTTAACTTCATCCTCTCCATTCTCAACCATAAGCTTATATCTTTCAACATTATATTCGCAGTATCTGGCACAAGATAGGCACTCAGAAGGTATTTGTTGAAATTCGTATGAATGATTAACTAATCAATGAATCTGTGCTATAAAACAGACAAATTAAAAATGCCTCTAAGTGCCGGGAGCGGTGGCTCATGCCTGTAATCCCAGCACTTTGGGAGGTTGAGGCGGGTGGATCACCTGAGGGTCAAGAGTTCGAGACCAGCCCAGCCAACATGGTGAAACCCCATCTCTACTAAAAATACAAAAATCAGCCAGGCGTGGTGGTGGGCGCCTGTAATCCCAGCTACTTGGGGGGCTGAGGCAGGAGAATCGCTTGAACCTGGGAGACAGAGGTTGCTGTAAGCTGAGGTAGTGCCATTGTACTCCAGCCTGGGCTACAGAGTGACTCCATCTCAAAAAAAAAAAAAAAAAAAAAAGCCTGTAAGCGTAACTTATTGGACTTTAAGACCTCACACTTAGTACTTCCTATTTTCCTCCTTGACTTAGTTTTCTTCTGATCATCAATTATTAATCATGGATAATTTGAAAACTGTGCTTTCATGAATACTAGAAAACTGTGCTTTCATGTCAGAATGTACAGGTTCAAATGAATATGCCATCACTTATCTCCATCTATATACTTAACTGTGTGACTTTGAAAAATGTATTTAACTTTCTCAGTTTCAGTTTTATTATCTGTACAATATAGATATTAATATCTATTGTATATAGCCAGCAGGATTGTTGTATTAACTACTTTAAACACATTAAAGTGTGTTTAAAACCACCAAGAATTTTCAGCGTATTGTACATGTGTTATGAGGCAATATAACATCATATTGAAATAGCTAGAAATTAAAGCCAAACAGTCCAACTATTGCTGAAGAGTTCTGGGAGATTAGGTAAAATGTTTACACATCTAAAGCATTAATGTCTCAATGCTTAATCACAAAATACAAGTTCCTAACTCAGGGCAATTTTAAGGGCTAGATTTGATAATATGTTCAGAGTGCCTGGCATACAGTTAAAACCAAATAAATATTTGTTGATCTTGTTTGTCATAGTGTTCCTTTTCAAAAAAAAAATGTTTTCTTATTCATTTGGTTTAATATCTGGGGAAATAAAAGACTCAATACTGAATACATTTCCTAGACTATTTTCCTGGAGTTCTCTCAAAAACATAACCACTATTTTTGCCTGTAACCAAATAACTCAGATTATATTATCTTGAACACTGTGCTGCTTAAAGCTATGATTGCAAGTAGTAGAAAATTTAGGACTAACAAAGCTAATTTGTTGAGTCTGTATTTTACACATCAGTGGCAATTGGAAGACTATGATAGGAAGAAAATTTAAACTCTATCCTTGTATTCACAACTCCCTAAATAGAAAGAAATGGAATTCAAGCATTCAAAAAATTTACTGGAGAAGATTAATTTGAAAATAGAATGTGCATGAGTGCATGGATAGATGTATCTCTTCTTGGATGACTGCAAGTAAGCCTTGCTATGAAAATATCTAAGAAGCAAAATTTATTGTAAATAAGTTTTCCATTAAATGGCAGTATCTTATTGGGAATGCATTTCTTAAAAAAAAAAAAACACAAAAAGAAACCCATACACTAACATATTTTTTAAAAAAATCTATCATTCTGCAAACCAACACTTCAGAGATTACACATTTTTTTCTACATCTTGCCATGTGCTTGTGGAGCAAACATTTTTTTGCAGTGAAGCAAATGAACTACATGTGGGATACCATGTTTAAACTAGAAGGCACCCTGCATCCCTCAAGATTCCCAATTCCTTAGAGATAAGGGATAGAGATTGTTGGTTGACTTAAAAAAAAAACTCTTTATTAACTCTAACATTAAACCATATTGAATTAATTTACTATGATTTATTTCAAAACCAGATGTGTTGATAACTTGGTAAAAATTGCTTCAGACAGTATCTGAGCATTTTCCCAGAGTACTAAGGAGCAAATCTATAATTCAGGGCCACTACTATCATCCTAGTTAAATATACTTTATCTCCTTCTTCTAATCCTAGTTGGTATTCTCACTTCCTCTCTTCCAACCTTAACTACTCGTCTTATTTCCCTCAATGGATCTTCCTTTCAGATTTATGCAAATATTATGTCATATCCCTGTTAAAAACCCTTTACTGCTTCATTCATTCTCTGTATTCTTAAGATAAAGTCTAAGAAGCACAAATGATATGACTTATTTTCCAGTATTTCAAGTGCCATTCAATCCAATTGTGCTTTGATATTTCATCTATACTAAATATCTTTTATTTCTTTGAAATTTCTGTGTTCTCTTTTACATATTCAGGTGTTTTCTTCCTCTTTTTCTGTGGTAAAATCTTACTCATGCTTCTTATTTCAAGGTATACATTACTTCTTCAAAAAAGACTGGGCTAGGTTTTCCTGGAATCTAATAATTATCTTACATAACGCTCATCATACTTTAAAAAAAAAAAATCTGCGTCTTGTGCAATTTGAATCTGTCCCTAGCACCATTTTATGTGCTGCTGCATTCTCAGCTCTTTCTTTTCCCAATGGTTAGCATTTAACATTCACTTATTCCTAAATGCTTTACTGAATGAAAGTTAAAGTAATGTGTGTTATGAGTTCAAGCTCACACCAGACGTTCCTCATGGGTTATGCATGTATCCTTACAATTTCAGATTCTGTAGCAGTCACCTTGGTGATCCCCTCCCCACACAGACATTCTTCCTTGACACTGAGCCCACGAGCTGAAAAATACCTGATATTTTTTTGAAGCTACGGCTTAGACATGTGACCCAATCCTGGCCAATGGACCAGAGGAAAAAACTGGATGAAAAGTATACTTGTGAGGAGAAAATGTCTTTCCCCCTATTAAATACAGTTGACTGAGAACATGCTTTTTGGATCTGTATTTGCCTTCCAACAACTCTGAAGAATCAAATCTGAAAACCAACGCCAATCCTGTGCAGATGGGTGAAAATAAAATATATGATATGTGGGCCTTTGATGATTTAAATTATTCTTTAAATAATTCTTGTGCTGCTGAATTAACCGAGCCTGGAACCACTTACCTCTAGTCACCTTGTTATATAAGATAATACATATAGGTTCTATTTCAGCCACTTATAAGTAGGTATCTTTTTATTTACTGTCAAAAGAACCCTCACTGATATAGATGCCCTCAGGACTTGACCCTCCCTGAGTTCCTGTTAGGCAGTTAAGGTAATCATCTGTTGGATTAGGGAAGCCTAGCTTATTTACTTCTCAGTGTGGACAAGTTTGGTCTTTAACTTGTATGCTCTTGTTTTCCAAAAAGGAGATAGACCAGAATCCTAAAAAAGTAAGTCTAAACATTGGTGTCCTTTTACGCTTCCCATCTAAATTATCTTTAAGAACATTTAAGTTTCATTGATGATCCCCAAAATAATTCAAGCAAAATGCTGAGTTGGTAGAATATAAGGACTGTTATTTATTTTTATTGTTTTTACAGACCACATACCCTAGGGAATTCTGAAAACCTGACTAACATCAATTGAAGATTGGGGTTCAGGAGGCCTAGATGATCCACCATGACTTATTCAAAAGTTGAAGATGAAAGGAAAGAATAAAGACTCTTTCCATCCAGTTCTCTAGTCTGAAAGGAAAAGAAATAGGCAAAGGACAGTAGGCTTTTCTATATCATTATATTCATTCAAATGATTCTCTTAAAATAATAATGAACTAAGGAGGCTCTGTAAGCAAGACAAACGGTCAGGAGGCCTCCTTGCTCCAAGAATACTCCCTTTTTACTTTATTAAAATGGTTTGTAAAGGTAAACTAAATTGACTAAAGTATCAATATTTCCATATATGCGTGATCTTTTAGAGACCATAAACTGTCAGTGTATTAGGCTGTTCTTGCATGGCTATAAAGAAATACCTGAGACTAGGTGATTTATAAGAAAAGGGGTATAATTGGCCCACAGTTCTGCAGACTGTACAGGAAGCATAGTAGCATGTGCTTCTGGGGAGGCCTCAGGAAGCTTCCAATCGTGGCGGAAGGCAAAGGGAAGCAGGCACATTGCATGGTGAGAACAGAAACAAGAACAAGGAAGGGTGGCTGGGAGGCGCCACATAATTTTAAATTACCAGATCTCACAAGAACTCACTATCCGGAAGACAGCACCCAGCCATGAGGGATCCACCCTCATGATTCAAACACCTCCCACCAAGCCCCACCTCCAGCACTGGGGATCACAACTCGACATGAGATTTGAGCAGAGACAAATTTCCAAACTATATCACTCAGAATCTGGAATAGAAAGAGTATGCACCATAACACTTTTATTCTCTACAGAAACAGACACTGTGCTGAGCTCAAAAAATAGTGATTCATCAAATATGAATGTGCAAACCTCTTTTGTACTGTATCTGTGGAATCCTGGTTACTGGGGCTTTGAGCCCCTGTCCCATAAAATCTCTGTAATACTAACCTAACTCATGGCATTTCTTTAAAATCAAATTTAATGAAATGATGGACATAAAGCCCATGGAACTGAGTGTGTAATCTTCTCTTATTTGATTAGATGTTAAACTTGAAACACTTTTTTTTGATAAAATATGAAATACATAAATGAGTTAAATTGTTGTGACTTTCCTTATAAGATTGAAAACAATAAGGTGTTTTTAATACTTTTTTTCTGTGTTCTCTTGAAAGTAGCTTTACATGTATTAAGCAATCCTGGCTTTAGATATTAGGGACAATAAAAATATCTGCAATTTTCCCAGTTTTATATAGCCATTGTTTGCAAGTATGAAAACCTGTCTTTTGTTACTGAAATATTATCTTTTATTTTGGCTTTTTTGATAACTTTTATGTTTGCCTTGAGCAAGTCACTTATCTTTTCTATTTGTGTTTTCTATTTCAGTTTATTTATGAAAGACAGTAATAATGATTGTGATGTACCTTACAAAAAAAGATAAAATCGTATTGAAGAGACTGTTGAATATGAACGCAGTGTATTAAATGCCCGATATAGGAACAAAAATAAAATGAAGAACATTTCTATTATAAAGTATTTTCCTAAATAGATTTAGTACTGTGAAAGGCAGTAAAATTATTTCCTGATAAACACTTTCTTGAGTATTCAAGGATTAATTGCCCAGGATAAGAAAAAATCCAGTCTTGATTATATTGCATATTTCCTGGTCGGCCTTCACTGAATAGTTAATTAGAATACCACCAGGAGGCGTCTTCTTGGGTCATAGATGGAATATATTTGTGGGCAAAAAATATTTTTCCTTAAGGAATTTGTAGACTAATCTAAGGAAATAAAAATCAATTTTAACTTCAAATTTCAGCCTAATTAGAAGACAGTAGATCACTCACACATTCATTCATTCATTCAATTAATATTTATTGAACTCCTTCTCTGTGAAAATTATTGGACTAGATGATTTGAGACGTACAATGACAAAATATGACTTCTATCCTCAGATCTTATCGTTAATAGGGAAGTGAAGAAATATATTTAAAAAACTCTATTAAGGCTTTTTTAGTGGGTGTTGAAACAAAGGCAGGGAAAGCAGTTATGAATATTTCTAACCAGATATAAAGGCAGTGGCAATGGGAATTTAAGGAAATGAATGAATTAAAATAATTTTCGGTGAAAAAGGGGATTGTTTGTCAGCTGCATATGGAATGTTGGGAGAAGGTGAGAAGTCAAGGACAGGGATTTCTTTCTTTTCTTTCTTTCTTTTTTTTTTTTTTTTGAGACAGTCTAGCTCTGTCGCCCGGGCTGGAGTGCAGTGGCGCAATCTTGGCTCACTGCAAGCTCCACCTCCCGGGTTCACGCCATTCTCCTGCCTCAGCCTTCCGAGTAGCTGGGACTACAGGTGCCAGCCATCACGCCTGGCTAATTTTTCTGTTTTTAGTAGAGATGGGGTTTCACCGTGTTAGCCAGGATGGTCTCGATCTCCTGTGATCGAGATCCCCCCTCCTCGGCCTCCCGAAGTGCGTTTTGAGACGGAGTCTCGCTCTGCCGCGCAGGCTGGAGTGCAGTGGTGCAATTTTGGCTCACTGCAACACTGTAACCTCTGCCTCCCTGGTTCAAGTAATTCTCCTGCCTCAGCCTCCCGAATAGCTAGGATTACGGGCATAGGCCACCATGCCTGGCTAATTTTTCTATTTTTAGTAGAGATGGGGTTTCACCATATTGGCCAGGCTGGGGGATTTCTGGTTTCTTCTCTAAAAGCTAAAAAGCTTGGAAGGCATTACTCCTTCCAAGCTTATTTATTCCTTAAAATAAGAAAAATTTGAACAAACTGAAAATCAACAATATTTCTTGGGCTCATCAGATAAATTAGGACATAAAACTAACTGCTACTCCCAAATCTAGAAAGGCAGGCGATTATAGAGAAAAGCAGCTAAGATCCGTTTAACTGCAGCAGAAGTCACTGAAACCATAAACTGGTAGGGACACTTAAATGGTAATTCCGATGAAGATCTGACTGAATGCTGAGTGTGGACTAGCTTGAGAGTAAGAAACTCCTGGGGATCACATTCTTAGGGAATCCCGCACACTTTGATGACTCTCACCTCTAGGGATCCCATCAGGTTCTTACGGTAAGGAACTAAGAAAAAGCACCTTTTGTCTTTGTCAGGGATGGGGAAAAGTAACCATCTGAAATATGCCTAGAGAATTCTCTATACATAAGCCTCTTCCAAGGAGAAAACACTTTACCAGTCAAATATTTATCTCACCAAGGAGAAAGAATTCTTACTGAATTCCAGGCCTCTCTAACCTTTCTGTCCACATTACATAGAAGAAATAAAACTGTGATGGTTAATTTTATAATATGTGCCAATTTAATACACTAAGAAAGACACAGCCCAGGGATACAGGCCCACTTAAGACCAGCTGTAATTGTAAGATTATAGAATGTTTTCCCTCCCCAACTTTTTAACACCACATCAACAGGACTCCAGTATAATAAGTGAATTATAGCTGAGAGAGCTGGAAAGCACATGCTGCAACTTACAAAAAAAAAGAAAAAAAACTCATTAATACAAGAATGAGAGTCAGGAATAGTAGTCAGAATCAC
Source organism: Homo sapiens (assembly GCF_000001405.40). NCBI lineage: Eukaryota > Metazoa > Chordata > Mammalia > Primates > Hominidae > Homo > Homo sapiens. Next base: position 90,784,034 of record NC_000004.12, read on the forward strand.
AGAATTTTTGTTGCTATTTGTTGTCATTACATTTATTTATTGAAAGGTAAAATATTAAGCCAGTTTAAAGACTGAGATAAATAGGAGAGAGTAAATAAGCTAAAAGTTACTCCAAATTAGAGGACTTTCCTTATGTAGTAGCATTCTGAGTGAAGAAGTGCTCAACCTTGCCCATACTGTTCCTCGTTTCATATGCACGTGACTAGCTGAATAATTCTTGAAAAACCTGTCTTTTCCCCATCATCCTGGATAATGGAAAGTGTTCTCTATATGAAGACAATTTATAGCACACTGTGATTATAATAACAAATAGCATACCAGTTATCATAAATGCATATGCTGATTTTATATATTTTGGTAATCATTCCTTTATTCAACTGATTTTCAATAACAATGTGTTCCAAAAGTGAGGTTACAAGGATGAAAATGATGTGTTCTAATTCACATCTCTAGTTGGTTTTGATAAGTCTGGAGCTGTGGAATGAGAAGGAGTGGGAGGGGACTATAAATCTTTGAAATGCTTCCCAGATGATTTAGAAAAAATTTACTTCCACACCCTACTGAAAACTACCTATCTAGTTTGTTATGCATATACCTCAGTATCCATATATTTCACTACATTTGACCCTTGAACAACAAGGGAGATAGAGGCACCAACCCTCATGCAGTTGAAAATCCATGTATAACTTTTGATGCCCCTCAACCTTAACTACTAACAGTCTACTGTTGACTAGAAGTCTTACTGATAACATAAACATGGTTGATTAACATGTATTTTGTTTATGTATTATATACTGTATTCTTAAAGTAAGCTAGAGAAAAGAAAATGTTTTTAAGGAAATCATAAGAAAAAGAAAATATATACTATTCATTAAGTGGAAGTAGATTATCATAAGCATCTTTATCTTCATCCTCGTCACATTGAGTGGGCTGAGGAGGAACAGGAAGATGAAGGGTTGGCCTTGCTTTCTCAGGGGTGGAAGAGGCAGAAGAATATTCACTTATAAGTGGATCTACACAGTTCAAACCTGTATATTATTATTTTTGAGATGGAGTGCAGTGGCATGATCTCAGCTCACTGCAACCTCTGCCTCCAGGGCTCAAGGGATCCTCCCACCTCAGCCTCCCAAGTATATGGGACTGCAGGGATGTACCACCATGCCCAGCTAATTTTTGTATTTTTTTATGGAGATGGGGTTTCACCATGTTGTCCAGGCTGGTCTGGAACTCCTGGGCTCAAGCAATCCACCCTCCTTCGCCTCCCAAATTACAGGCATGAGCCACCACGCCCAGCCCAAACCTGTATGTACATTAAGGGTCAACTGTATGTAGTTTTCTTGTTATTATGTTATAATCCTGTGACTTGACTGGCTCTCTTTTTAAGATGCTAGATGTTGTGCAGCTGGATAAAGTTCAAGTGGCAATGGAAGAACAGGAATCATATTTACATTGATAATCAAAGTGAATAGAAAAGTCTATTACTTTCAAGATAATATAATACCATTAAAGTGCAAATCTCTCAATGTGACAAATTCTGAAAAATACAGTTTCTATGTTCGAGCAAAATAATTTGACAATTATTGACAGAAATAAGGTACCATTTACCTTTATGAAATGTTAGTTTCTAAATAAATCTCAATCCAATGCCAATTAAAACTATACGTTTAATTTGTATGTTTTAATAAGTTGTCAATTTTTTTTTACAATGTTAACATTTTAGTAGATTTTACAGTAACATCTTTTTGAACTGTGACTGTGTTTTTTAATTTAATGAACAAAATGAGTATTGCTTTTCTACTTGTAAAGTGTTATTAATATCCAAAGGATTAACAAATGCCATTTTTTTCTGCAATTGCTTGTTATTTAGGCTTTTTCATCAACATTTGTTATGTAGCAAATACTCATATAGTTTGCATTTTGTGGAGCTGAGAGGTACTTATGTAAAATTGTTTCCAAACTTTACCTTCTCCCTATTCTCTAAAACAAATTTCTGGCCTGGTCGACTTCAATTCTTTTACTCCGTAGCTACAGTCTGAATGGGGCTGAGGGGGATTCTTCTTTGTCAGATACTTTCTCAAGGGCTTTCATAATGCAGAATCAAAAGGAAAGCTGGGCAGATAGAAAGACGATGGCTCCTAAGCAATGTTCTGTAGGGCACGTGGAAGCGCAACTGAAGTGATTCAAGGAAACTGATAGAGGAGAAAAGGGCAATATTAGAAACTACTGTGGTGAACTATGTGTTCTAATAATGATGTTCAAGATATACAAATGAAGATCTTCAGTTGTTGTGAATTTTCTTTTTTGGTCTGAATATTTTCTTTGGAACACAGTAATACTCAGAAACTATAACATGGTTCCAATAGGTTATATGATTACTAAATATCTCTTAATAAATATTTTATTTCCCAGATAATGTATTTTTTCTAGTACTTAGAGCCTTTAATACTGTAATCATTTTACTCAAAGTTTAGAAATTAAAAAAAATTAAATCACACATAAATCTAAAACTCTAGTAAAATAATTGTCATAATTTTGCATATTTTCAGGTTTTTCATTTAAAATTCCATTTACAAACAAAGTGTATTTTCCATTTACCACATGGACTTTTGTGTACAGAAAATCTCTCTGTTTTTCCTCTACTCTCATACCACAGCGATCAACAATGAAGACATCTGTGACCAAATGTGTCTGTATGGTGGGAGGGTTCCCCACACAGAGCAGCAGACACCAGCTGGGTATCCTCTAATGCAATTCTGATGCTATCTTCCTGAAGATACTGTCAGATCCAATAGATTGGGGGCTCATTCCCCAAGAGTCCTCTTCAGACATCAGTTGCAAGTCTGGCCCTCTGAACATCTGAGTGACCAGCTTCAAGCTGAGGTTTCTATAACCCCCTTTTTGTGTTGGATTAACTTTCTGGAGTGGCTCACAGAACTCAGGGAATCACTAACTTAATTTACCAGTTTATTATAAAGAATATTCCAAAGGATACAGATGAAGTGACCATAGAGTGAGGTATGGGGGAAGGGACACAGAGCTTCCTTGCCCACCCTGGGCACGCCTCCTTCTAGGAACTCTACACCTTCATTCAGATATCCTAAAGCTCTTAGAACTTAGTTCTCTTGGATTTTTATGGAAGCATTCCTTCCTCCAGGATATGAGGTGGGACCCTCTCAGGGGAAGGACTTAATACAATTAGAAAAGCAGGGGAAGATTAGAGTCCTGCCCCAAGAAAGAAAGGAGAGAGATTCTGTTTCCTGAGGCCTTTCCCTGAGATCTAATGCACCCATTATAACAAAAGACTGTAGCAAAGGCCACGGAGTTATGAGCCAGGAACTGTGGATGAAAACCAATATATATTCAATCATAACACTACAACTTTGTGACTATTTTTTTGAATGCATAATTTTCAGTGAAAACATTTACTATCATTGAATAACAATTTTTTAATGGTTGTTTACTTAGGTTGCTTTCAACATTTAGACATTACAATGCTGGTTATCTGTCATGTGGCCTCTAGTTTTCAGTCTTCAAAGATGTTTTCTTTTAATTAATAAGGCACAGATGGAATGGAGATCGAGTATGTGTAGCAGGGTATTTATTCAAATTTTTTCCCATGTCTGGAGGTGATACTTCTCTTACAACTTGATTATGTGTGAAAAGGAATTTGAACAATTGTATGTCTCCATGAACTTCATCATGTACTGATTAGAGGTCAAAGTGACCTTGACCTTGATGAGATTGTCTAGACATTTTGACCGGCATTTTGACTGGCATTGTCTAGATATTTTGACTAGAAAGTGGTGACGCTTCCTAAATGTGGTTGGTGGCTGCTCAACTCTCTACAAGAAGTAGGGTCCACCACAGTAAGTTTTGCAGTTTATCTGAATGATTAGATGAGTATAGTGTGAAGGTTAAACTACTGCTACATACACTGACTTAAGTAGGCAGCTGCTTATGAATCAAGTTGTGACTAAAATATGCACAGATAAGGGTACTTTATTTTTATAACTTAAATAAAAAACCTATTACTATTATATTAGAAATCCTGATAAGCCCATCAATTTCTAATATTATCCTATGTTAGAAATAAGAATAAGCACTTGGAGAGCTTTGAGGTGAAAGACTAAGGTAGAAAATGATCATGGGTTATGTACTCTATTTTTTTACATCCATTCTTCTTTTTCTTTTTTCATTTATCAGTTATTGAAAAATCAGATATCAACTCAATTACTTATATATGATCTATAAAGTGTAGCCATTGAAAATTATGGGTGTGTCTATGTATTAGTTTCCTAAGGCTGTCAAAAAAAGTACTACAAACAAACTGAGTGGCTTAGACAATGGAAATCTATTGTCACAGTTCTAGAGGCTAGAATTCTGAGATGAAGGTGTTGGTAGGACCAAGCATCCTTTAAAGGTGCTAGGGAAGGATCTATTCTGGACCTCAAGCCTGGTATCTGGTAGTTTCTTGGTTTGTGATGGCATAACTCCAATCTTCACATGGTGGTTCCCTGTAGGTGTCCTTTGTGTCCAAATTTCCCCTTTTTAATAAGGAAACTAGTCATTGTAAAAAGGCTCACTTCCCTCCAGTATTTTCTCTTTTTAACTAATGATGTCTGCAAAGACCTTATTTCCAAATAATATATCCTGACTTACCAGGAGTTGGGACTTCAACATAGGAATTGGACAGGGGGCCGGGGAGAAACAATTCAATCATTAACAATCAATTACATAGTTAAAGTTCATTAGAAAGGCGATCCTTTATCATTGACTGACTCACTGTCAATAAAAGATTAGTTTATTTCCTTGGTTTACAGATAGTTCTCTGCCTAGTTATGTACTGAATCTCATTCTTTCTTAACACCTGAAAGATTTTCCTCCCCCAGGCATTCCTCTTTCCCTGGTATTTTTAAATCACTGGATCATTTTCATCAGTGTTTAAACTTGATTAAGCTTTTCTATCTAACACATACACACACACACACACACACCATCTCAATCTTGTTAACAACTATTCTGTTCACAAGTTTATTGAAAGAAGCTTGCCTTCTGATAATTATGTAGTTGGTAGCTCACTACTTTTTACTTTCAGTTTATTTCTGAACTCTCTGTAATCTGGACTCTGCTTCCAAAACACCATCCAGAGCAGCTTTGATAATGTCAACAGTGACTTACTTTTTTAATAAGCCTGGTGAAAACTATTCAGTCTTAGTTTATTTCCTCTCTGTTATGTCTAACATAATTGATCTCACTCTCCTTCTTAAATTTGTTTGCTCCCAAAGCTATTGTGACACCCTAATTTATTTTTTCTCTTTTGTTTGTTTTCATTTTTCTTCACAATCACTTTTTTGTTTTTCAACTGTTTATTTTCTACTACATGAATATCCTAGTGATTCTCAAATCTCCATTTTCTGATCAGATATTTCTCTTTTGAGCTCATACTCACGTAGCCAATGTCTACTGATATGGTTTGGCTCTGTCCCCACCCAAATCTCATCTTGAATTGTAACTCCCATAATTCTCACTTCCCACATGTCTTTGGAAGAACTCGGTGGGAGGTAATTGAATCATGGGGGCACATCTTTTCCTGTGCTGTTCTTGTAATAGTGAATAAGTCTCATGAAATCTGACAGTTTTAAAAAGGGGAGTTCACCTGCACTAGCTCTTTCTTCTTGCCTGCTGCCATTCATGTAAGATGTGACTTGCTCCTCCTTGCCTTCTACCATGATTATGAGGCCTCCCCAGCCATGTGGAACTGTAAGCCCATTAAACTTCTTTTACTTCCTAGTCTTGAGTATGTCTTTATCAGCAGCGTGAAAATGGACTAATACACCTACTATATTTCTTCGGCTGGATTTTATAAGGAACATTTCAATTGAACTCATTATATATTTTACCTTAAAATTCCACCTGAAATTTTATTTGCTCTCAACAGGAGTGAGCAATACTTCCATTCCACTAGTATACATGCCAAAACATAAAGTTATTCTTGACTCTCCCTTCTCATTTGCCTCTCTCTACTCCACCCATATCTGTAGAGTCCATCTTCTAAGTAGCTTTCAAATTCACCTCCATAACCCATCTTAGTTTAAATCTTAATTATTTCTGTGTGAATTATTAAAATAACCTTTTTAACAGTCTTTAGCCTTGGTCCTATGCAGCCTTTTCTTTATAATATCCTCAGCAAACTACTGCAGGAGTAATTTATACTGTACCCAGAGTAAACTGCATAAATTTAAATATGATTATAATTTTCCATGATTAAAATTTATTATTGATATACCATAGCCTTCTGAATAAAACATAATTTATTGTTATGGAATAAATGACTATGATTTGGTTTCTTTTGGTTTCTCTTTGCCAAGGTATACCTCTCCACATAAGTATACTAAAATACTTGTTCCCCAAACTCTTGCCTCCAGGAATTTTAATGTTCCTACCTTTGCTTAGAAAATACTTGGCTTTCTTTTATCTTTTACTAATTCCTTCTGACCATTGGGATTCTGGATACATTTTTTTTCCCCCCAGAATGCTTTCTCTGACTCTACTACCTTGGTCTATGTGTTTGTTTTCTTTTGCTGTGAGGCAAATTACTACAAACTGGAACTTCCCAACAAGTTTCTCATCTCCATCTGAGACCACTTCAGCTTGCACTTCATTGTCCAGATCACTATCAGCATTTTGGTCAAAGTCATTCAACAAGTCTCTAGGAAGTCTCAAACTTTCCCACATCCTCCTGTCTTCTGAGCCCTCCAAGTCTCTAGGAAATTCCAAGCTTTCCCACATTTTCCTGTCTTCTTCTGAGGCCTCCAAACTGTTCTGACCTCTGCCTGTTACCCAGTTCCAAAGTCACTTCCACATTTTCAGGTATCTTAATAGCAGCACCCCACTCTCTGCAGTATGAATGTACTGTATTAGTCTGCTCTCATGCTGCTATGAAGAAGTACTCAAGATTGAGTGATTTATAAAGAAAAGAGATTTAATTGATCCACAGTTCTGCATTGCTGTGGGGGGCTTAGGGAACTTACAGGCATGGCAGAAAGCACCTCTTCACAGGGCAGCAGGAAAGAGAATGAGTGTTGAGCGAAGGAGGATGCCCCTTATAAAACCATGAAATCTCATGAGGACTTACTATCATGAGGCTACCATGGGGGGAAACTGTCCCAATGATTCAATTACCTCCCACTGGGTCTTTCCCATGACATGTGGGGATTAAGGGAACTACAATTCAAGATGAGATTTGGGTAGGGACACAGCTAAACCACAGCAGTGGGTAAAATGCCATCAAACCACATTGCATGCTGCAGAGTAATCTTTTGTGGAAAGAAGAGTCAACAAATGTGGTAAACTTCATTCTCTTACTTTAAGAAATTGCCACAGCCACCCCAGCCTTCAATAACCATCACCCTGATCAGTCAACAGCCATCAACATTGAGGCAAGACCCTCCACCAACAGAAAGAGTACAACTCTTTGAAGGTTCAGATGATTATTATTTTTAATAACATATTTTTAAATAAAGATACACACTTTTAGCCGGGTGCAGTGGCTCATACCTGTAATCCCAGCACTTTGGGAGGCCAAGGCGGGCGGATCACGAGGTCAGGAGATCAAGACCATCCTGGCTAACACAGTGAAACCCCATCTCTACTAAAAATACAAAAAATTAGCCAGCTACTTGGGAGGCTGAGGCAGGAGAATGGCTTGAACCTGGGAGTTGGAGCTTGTAGTGAGCCGAGATCGCGCCACTGCACTGCAGCCTGGGCTACACAGCGAGACTGTCTCAAAAAAAAAAAAAACACACACACACACACGTTTATAAGATGTAATGCTATTGAACACTTAATAGGCTAAAGTATAGGCTAAATGTAAGTTTTATATGCACTGGGAAACCCAAAAATTCATCAAAATAAAACAGTTTATTGTGATATTTACTTTATTGCAGTTGCCTTGAACCAGTCCCACAGTATCTCAGAGGTATGCCCATATATAGTATTGGTTTATGTTGTGTAACTATAATCTGTAGCTTCAGCTAATGTTCATTGCCTTCTTGCAGTTCAGTTTTTTGACTTTGCAGAATCCCTGATACCAGTGTTTAAGGTGAGTCATATTATCTGTAATTCCTGCACAGCACAATGTTGACATCTCTGCTTTTTTTTCTCTTGGAAATTTTATATTGATGCTCGAGTCCATGAAACATTTCTGAAGCGTTACTTATTTTTGTATTCTTCTTCATTGTCACAATTCAGCACCCCATAAAATAGGGTACTATGTATATTTTAGGATCTGCCAGTATTAGGAAAGTCTTTTCTCTCTAGTTTTTACTCTCCTTTGTTATCATATAAAACCTGAAGGGCTTTACTTTCTCTTTTTTATCTAAAAACTGCATATGTATTCCCAAGCACTGCCCAATGTTATTCACGCTGTCCTTTCCCTGTGTCTGAAATGTACAGGGCCCCAGAGATGGCTCAGCTTCTTTCTTCCAGGAGGATGGCAGAAGGGTGCCTACTACCTATAGCAAAGCCCTTGTCAGCACTGTGTCCTGTGAGATTTAGCGATTCTTTTGATGATGTGACAGAATACATGGACACTCAGACAGATAAAAGGCAGAACTCTTTGTTACTTACAGCTCAAAGGAAAGAAGGCTGCCCTGTAGGACCATGCAATAGGTTGCACGTCGGGGCAGGATAGCAGCAAGCTGGAGCTGAGGGTGGCAGCTTGTGCCAGGCAGGCAAGGTGGGCAATGCCTAGTTGAACAGATTTCCTGTGGCTAGACTAATTTAGATACTTCCAAGGGCTCTGGGGAATAGGGGCTGTCCCTAGTTGCCTGGTACTTGGCCTGGTGGATGGAGTAAAGGGGAGTGCTGATAGGGCTGGTACCTGGAGTGTGAGAGCCTGATAAGGGAAGTGTTTGGAGTGCAGATGTTTCAGCTGATAAAGAAGGGGTAATAACTGGACTCTGGCCAGGCCTCAAAACTGGGTCAAGGCAGCATTTAAAAAATAAAAACAAAACAAAACAAAAACTGTGTTACACACTTCTAGAAGGTAATGGAGATGTGTTTGATGTCTTTGAATACCTTTTTTCTACCAAGAAAGTAAGTTCATAGTGATGTTCAAACATAATTTCTTACTTTTTTTTTCTTTTTTAAATTTAACTTTCATTTAAGTTCAAGGATACATGTGCAGGTTTGTTATGTAGGTAAACTTGTGTCATGGGCATTTATGGTACAGATTATTTTGTCACCCAGGTATTAAGCCTAGTATTCATTAGTTATTTTTCCTGATCCTTTCCCTCCTCCCACCCTGCAGCCTCCAATAGGCCCCAGTGTGTGTTGTTCCCCACTATGTGTCCATGTGTTCTTATCATTTAGCTCCCACTTATAAGTGAGAACATGCAGTATTTGGTTTTCTTTTCCTTTTTTGTTGAGGATAATGGCCTCCATCCATGTTACTGCAAAGGACGTAATCTTATTCTTTTCTATTGCTGCATGGTATTTCATGATGTTTATATACCACATTTTTTCTATCCAGTCTGCCATTGATGGACATTTAGGTTGATTCCACGTCTTTGCCATTGTGAATAGTGCTGCAATGAACATATGTGTGCATGTGTCTTTATAATAGATTTATATTTGTTTGAATATATACCCAGGAATGGGATTGCTGTGACAAATGGTATTTCTGTTTTTAGGTCTTTGAAGAATCACCACAGTGTCTTCCACAATGGTTGAACTAATTTACACTCCCACCAACAGCGTATAAGCATTTCGTGTCCTCTGCAACTTTGCCAGAAGCTGTTATTTTTTGACTTCTTAATAACACATACCATTCTGTGAGGTGGTGTCTCATTGTGGTTTTGATTTGCATTTCTCTAATGATCAGTGATGTTGAGCTTTTTTGATATGATTGTTTGCTGAATGTATGTCTTCTTTTTGAGAAGTGTCTGCTCATGTCCTTTGTACACTTTTTAATGGGGTTGTTTTTGTCTTGTAAGTTTGTTTTAGTTCCTTACAGATGCTGGGTATTAGACCTTTATCAGATGCATAGTTTGCAAAAATATTCTCTCATTCTGTAGGTTGTCTGTTTACTCTGTTGATACTTTCTTTTACTATGCAGAAGGTCTTTTGTTTAATTAGATGCCATTTGTCCATTTTTGCTTTTGTTGTAATTGCTTTTGGTGTTTTCATAATGAAATATTTGCCCATGCCTATGTCCTGAATGGTATTGCCTAAGTTGTCTTCCATGGCTTTTATAGTTTTGAGTTTTACATTTAAGTCTTTAATCCATCTTGAGTAGATTTTTGTATATGATGTAAGGAAGAGGTCCAGCTTCAATCTTCTGCATATAGCTATCCAGTTATCCCAGCACCATTTATTGAATAAGGAATCCTTTCACCATTGCTTGTTTTTGTCAGGGTTGTTGAAGATCATATATTTGTAGCTGTGTGGCCTTATTACTGGGTTCTCTGTTTTGTTCCATTGGTCTAAGTGTCTGTTTTGTACCAGTACCATGCTGTTTTGGTTACTGTAGCCTGTATCATAGTTTGAAGTTGGGTAGCTTGATGCCTCCAGCTTTGTTCTTTTTGCTTACAATTGCCTTTGATATTCAGGCGTTCTTTTTTTTCCTTGTTCCATTTGAATTTTAAAATAGCATTTTCTGGTTCTGTGAAGAATGTCAGTGGTAGATTAATAGGAATAGCATTGAATCAGTAAATTGCTTTGGGCACTATGGCTATTTTAATGATATTAATTATTCCTATCTATGAGCATGGAATGTTTTCCCATTTGTTTGTGTCATCTGTGATTTCTTCGAGAAGTGTTTTGTAGTTCTCTTTGTAGAGGTCTTTCACTTCCCTTGTTAGCTGTATTTCTAAGTATATTTTTGTGTGTGTGTGGCAACTGTAAATTGGATTGCATTCCTGATTTGGCTCTCAGCTTGACTTTTATTGGTGTATAGAAATGTTACTGATTTCTGGCTGGGTGCGGTGGCTCACACCTGTAATCCCAGCACTTTGGGAGGCAGAGGGTGGGCTGATCACAAGGTCAGGAGTTCGAGACCAGCCTGGCCAACATGGTGAAACCCCATCTCTACTAAAAATACAACTTAGCTAGGCGTGGTTGCGGGCACCTGTAATCCCAACTACTCGGGAGACTGAGGCAGAAGAATCACTTGAAACCAGAAAGCAGAGGTTGCAGTGAGCCGAGATCGTGCCACTGCACTGCAGCATGGGCAACAAGGGCAAAACTCTGTCTCAAAAAAAAAAAAAAAAAGGAAACAAAGAAATGTTCGTGATTTCTGCACATTGATTTTGCATCCTGAGACTTTGCTGAAGTTGTTTATCAGCTTAAGGAGCTTTTGGGCTGAGATTATGGGGTTTTCTAGATATAGGATCATGCTTTCTGCAAACAGGGATAGTTTGACATCCTATCTTCCTATTCGGATGTCCTTTATTTCTTTCTCTTGCCTGATTATCCTGGCCAGGACTTTCAATACTATGTTGAATAGGAGTGGTGAGAGAAGGCATCCTTGTCTTTTGCTGGTTTTTCAGGAGAATGCTTCCAGCTTTTGCCCATTCAGTGTAGCGTTGGCTGTGGGTTTGTCATAGATGGCTCCTATTATTTTTAGGTATGTTCCTTCAATACCTAGTTTATCAAAAGTTTTTAACATGAAAGAGTGTTGAGTTTTATTGAATGCCTTTTCTGCATCTATTGAAATAATTATGTGGGTTTTGTCTTTAGTTCTGTTTATGTGATGAATCACATTTATTTATTTGTGTATGTTGAACCAACCTTACATCTCATGGATAAAGCCTACTTGATTATGGTGGATAAGCATTTTGATGTGCTGCTGGATTTGTTTTGCCAGTATTTTTTTGAGAATTTGTGCATCAATGTTCATAAAAAATATTGGCCTGAAGTTTTTTGTTGTTGTGTCTCTGCCAGGTTTTGGTGTCAGGATGATGCTGGCTTCATAGAATGAGTTAGGGAGGAGTCTCTCCTTCTCAGTTATGTGGGATAGTTTCAGGAAGAAACATACTGGCTCTTCCTGTACATCTAGTGGAATTCAGCTGTGAATCCATCTGGTCCTGGGCTTTTATTGTTTTGAAGGCTATTTGTTATTGATTCAATTTCAGAGCTTATTATTCGTCTGTTCAGGGATACCATTTCTTCCCGTGCTCAGTATTGGGAGGGTGTATTTGTCCAGGATTTATTCATTTTTTCTAGATTTTCTAGTTTATGTTCATAGAGGTATTAATAATATTTTGATTTTTTTTTGTATTTCTGTGGGGTCAGTGGTAATACCTTCTTTGTTGTTTCTGTTTATTTGGATATTATCTCTTTTCTTCATTAGTGTAGCTAGTGGTATATCTATTGTACTAAATTTAAAAAAAAAAAAAAAAACAGCTCTTGGATTTGTGGATCTTTTGAAGGGTTTTTCTTGTCCCCATCTCCTTCAGCTTTGATTTTAGTTATTTCTTGTCTTCTGCTAGCTTTGTGATTTGTTTCCTCTTGATTTTCTACTTCTTTTAGTTGTGATGTTAGGTTGTTAACTTGAGATCTTTCTAACTTTTTGATGTGGGCATTTAGTGCTATAATTTTCCCTCTTAACACCACCTTATCTGTGTCCCAGGGATTCTGGTACATTGTGTCTTTTTTCTCATTTATTTCAAAGAACTTTCTGATTTCTTCCTGAATTTTATTATTTACCAAAAAGTCATTCAGGAGAAAGTTTTTCAATTTTAATGTAATTATATGGTTTTGAGTTAATTTCTTAGTTTTGACTACTAATTTGATTGTACTGTGGTTCAAGACATTGTTTTTTATGATTTCAGTTCTTTTGCATTTGCTAAGGAGTGTTTTACTGCTACTGATTTTGTTATCAATTTTAGAGTATGTGCCATGTGACAATGAAAAGCATGTATATTCTGTTCTTTTGGGGTGGAAAGTTCTGTAGATGTCTATTAGATCCATTTGATCCAGTGCTGAGTTCGTGTCTTGAAGATCTTTGCTTATTTTCTGTCTTGGTGATCTAATATTGTCAGTGGGATGTTAAAGTCTCCCATGATTATTATGTGAGAGTCAAAGTCTCTTTGAAGGTCTCCAATAACTTGATTTATGAATCTGGGTACTCCTATGTTGGGTGCATATATATTTAGGTTAGCTAGATCTTATTGTTGTATTGAACCCTTTACCATTATGTATTGTCCTTGTCTTTTATTTTTATATTTGTTGGTTTAAAGTCTGTTTTGGCTGAAACTAGGATTGCAACCCTACTTTTATCTGTTTTCCATTTGCTTGGTAGATTTTTCTGCATCCCTTTATTTTGAACCTACGTCATTGCATGTGAGATTAGTCTCTTGAAGACAGCATACCAATGGGTCTTCTGATTCCTTATCCAGCTTGCCACTCGGTGCCTTTTAACTGGGGAATTTAGCCCATTTACATTCAAGGTTAATATGGATATTTATGGATTTGATTCTGTTATGATGTTAACTGTTTATTTTGCTACTTGTTTATGTGGTTGCTTCATAGTGTCACTGATCTGTAATTTAGTTTATTTTTGTAGTAGCTGCTAATGGTTTTTCCTTTCTGTATTTAGTGCTTCCTTCAGGAGCTCTTGTAAGGCAAGTCTGGTGGTAACAAATTCCCTCAGCATTTGCTTGTCTGAGAAAGATCTTATTTCTCCTCCTCTTATGAAGCTTAGTTTGACGAGGTATGAAATTCTGGGTTGGAATTCTTTTCTTTAAGAATATTGAATATAGGCCGCCAATGTCTTTTGGCTCATAGGGTTTCTGCTGAGATGTCTGCTGTTAGCCTGATGGGCTTCCCTTTGTAGGTGACTTGGCCTTTCTCTCTAGCTCCCTTTAACATTTTGTTCTTTCATTTCAACCTTGGAGAATCTGAAGATTATGTCTGTTGGGGATGATCTTCTTATAAAATGTGTTATTGTGGTTCTCTGCATTTTATGAATTTGAATGTTGGCCTCTCTAGGTAGGTTGCTGAAGTTCTCATGGATAATACTCTGATTTATGTTTTCCAAGTTGGCTCTATTCTCCTGATATTTTTCAGGTACACCAAAGAGTTGTAAGTTTGGTCTCTTTACGTAATGCCGTATTTCTCAGAGGTTTTGTTTGCTCATTTTCATTCTTTTTTCTCTATATTTGTCTGACTGCCTTATTTCAGAAAGTCAGTCCTCAATTCATGAGATTCTTTCCTTTTCTTGGTATATTCTGCTGTTGATACTTGTGATTGCATTATGAAATTCCTGTAGTGTGTTTTTCAGGTCTATCATGTTGGTTACATTATTTTCTATATTGGCTATTTTGTCTGTCAGCACCTGCATTATTTATCAGGATTTTTAGCTTCCTTGTACTGGATTTTAATATACTCTTGTAGCTCAGTGATCTTCATTCATATCCATATTCTGAATTCTATTTCTGTCATTTCAGCCATCTCACCCTGGTTTAGAACCTTTGCTGGAGAGGTGATGCAATCATTTGGTGGAAAAAAAGGCCTTCTGGCTTTTTGGGTTGACACAGTTCTTGCACTGATTCTATTTCATCTTTGTGGGCTTATCTACCTTCAGTGTTTGATATTGCTGACATTTGCATGGGTTTTTAAAAATTCTTTTATCCTATTTGATGACCTTCAGGGTTTGATTGTGACATTACGTGGATTCAACTGACTGGCTTTGTTTCTGGAAGATTTTAGGGGGTCACTGCTTAGCCCCCAACTCCTGGACTATGTGCTCTCACTCTGGGGGCTTGTATTAAGCCCTGACTTTGTTCTCTTGGCTCCTTGATGTTAGGAACCCACTGCACTGAGGTGGGGGGAGGCAGTGGGTGGTGGCGGAAGGTGCTTTCAGACCACAGGTCACAACACTCTGATGGGTGGTGCCAGCCAAAGCATTTTTTAGTGCAGTAACAGTAGGATCAGTCCTCGTTCTCACGTGCTAGCAGCAACAGTAGTGGCAGCTGCAGCAGAGTGCCAGCAGGTGCCATGGTTCCTGCCTCCCTTCAGGCATTCACCACAGTGGTGAAGGCAACACAGCTTGGCGGTGAGGGGGGTCTCTGTTGGCAACTGTGTGTATGGTCACACTGGAGGTGATGTTGGCTCAGGGGTGGGGTGCTGGTAGGCACAGGTCTGGGTGTCTTCTCTGTGTCCCGGAAGGTGGAGTGGTCACTCAGTACGAGGGAGGATCTGCTGTTCACTGTGCAGTATTAGCACAAGGGCAGGGTGCTGGCAGGGGAGAGGTTGGCTGGTTCTGTGCCTGCCAAGGCTCTGTCTGCTCTGCAATGGCAGTTGGCGGAGGGTGGGGGACAGACAGTCTGTGAGGTAAGCAAAGAAAAATCCATCTGGGCAGACACACACCAGCCAAGTGATGTGGGACCCTGGGGAAGCTACAGTATGGGGAGAGAGTGTGCAGGCTGGTGTGTGGCCGTAGGCGTCGTGCCACTGGAGCTCTCTGCAGCTCAGGCACAATCCACCAGTGCAGAAGCTATGGGCTCCCAAGTAACCCGAGACTGCCCTGCAAGCAGTCATGGCCAGTCTGGGGCCCCAGGAGAAGCCAGAAGACTAAGGGGTGCTCAGGTCGCGCAGGCCCCATATGATGGGCAAAACTGCCTGACAGAGTTCAGGTCCAGCAGTTCCCCATGACTAACGTCTCCTATGGGAGCAAGTCAAACCAAGGGGGTGGCTATCCCTGGCAATATTCTGTTACACATGCTCCCACATAAAAACCTCTGGACTCCACATCAGCTGGCTTGCTGTCCTTAACACTTCTTTAAGCATCTCTCCCTGCCAACACAAGTGTCTGTAGTGGTCAACGGGGCTCCTCCTGCCAGTGATTCAGAGGCCCATGGTGAGAGCAGACTGCCCCTTGCCAGTTCAACTGACCCATTCCCTGGGAGCCACTGGGGGCCAGGAACAAGTCCTGTTGCACGCTGGACCCGTGCAGAGTTCCGAGCTTTCTCCTGCTTCAGCCCAGCTTCTGTGTCTTCCTTCTGTCCACTCTTGGTGCCTTCCCTCTGAAGGCCTGTTAGGAGCATGCCAGTCATCTTGGTCCCTTGGTGGTGCTGTTTCCCATAATTTCTTAATTTAGGAGGTTTAGGTAGATAAATAGATAAAATTTCCTTTATTCCTATGTAAAACACAAAAAGCCAGTAAGCATGCTTCATAACAGAAAGGAACTTTTAATATAATGTTTTAAACCATTTTTTCTTTTCTTCTTCTTATCATTATTATTTTTTGTAGAGACGAGGTCTTACCATGTTGCCCAGGCTGGTCTCATACTCTTGGGCTCAGGAAATCTTCCGCCTTGTCTTCCCAAAATGTTGTGATTACACACATAAGCTCTGTGACTAGCTTTTTATTTTTTATTTTTTTCATGTGTAGTTTACATTGTGGGAGGAGACATGTAAACAATTTCTTACCTTGCTTAAGAAATACAGGTAGAATATGGCATTTCCTAGCTATCTCCTCTGGGAAACAAAAATGCTGGAATCAAGAGACTCTCACAACCTCTTAAATGCATTACTTTCTCCTAAAATGTCTTATCAAGCAATGCCAGTGAGACAGTGTAAGTTATCGCTTTATCACTTGTTGACTGTTTCTGTTAAGAAGCTCATTGTTGATAAGTTTGTAAAGCGACTTATGTCTTAAATATAGTTCCAAATCGATTTTTAATGAAACCCATGGGTTTTAGGAGATCAGAAAACTAATTTATGTTGTGTAGTAACTCATTCTATGACCCTGGGAAATTTGGTTCTCATTCTTCTACATGCAAAATACTGTCATTTTAAGATAGCTTTAGAAAAGTAAATACCAATGTTTATTTTTAAATTTTAAATTTTATGAAAGAATTGGATCAAACAAAAAAATAAGGAAAGACTTGAGTAGTGTTTTTATAAAGATAGGTTGAAATGCTCTGTTCTCTTACTGTATAATCGAAAAAAATCAGTAAGATGGGCTACATTACATTAGAAAAGTTGTACAACCTCATTATTTTTTATTGTTAGTTCAAAAAAATGAAACAAAGAGGACACTAACAAATTGGAAATGACAAGAACATAGTCTCATGGAACTTTTTTGACATCTTAACAAATTTATCATTGTAAGCTCATGTTTTTAACTTTTCCAAAAAATGTAGGACTTCAGTGAATTTTGTTGAGAGGCTGATGAACACTTTCTTGGTATTATGATATATGTTTTTCTTTTATTTCATCTTTGCTACAATTACTTTCTCTGCTTACTTTTTATGTCTGAAACCCTACTTATTCTAGAAATGTAATATGTTTTCAATAACAAATTAAGAAAGATTGTGATAGTAAAACATAGTTTTGTACAAAGGAGTGTTTTTTAAATGATAAAGCCTCTGTACAAATGTAAGGTGGTATTATTATTTTTTGAAAGATTTATATCGGTAAGAATTTTTAAGATATTCTAAGAGTACCATTCATTGTCAAAAAGATTATGCTGATATCCAAACATTCTTCCTCAATTGCTTGAAAATCTTAGGAGATATGCCACTGTATCAAGAGACAATGCTATTTCCTTATTTGACTAATATGCTAAAAAAATACATTTCTAACATACTGGCTTTGAACAACTGTTTTCTCTTGACCATCCCGTAAAAGATAAATTATTAATAATTTCAATACTAAATTAATAAATGCCATTTACTTTGATCATGGATATATTTTAAAATTACATTATAGTTTGTGTTTTATTTGTAAACTTCATCAACATTTCATATAAATACCAGAGAAAATCAGAGTAAATATAATGTCTAAGAATCATTTGTTTAGTTTTATTTCAAAACTGTAAAAAAGACTTAGAATATACAATCTATGCTATTGTTTGGTAATATATTTTTTAGTTCTTTAGAATATATGTATAATTCTAGGCTGGGGGCGTTGTCTCACGCCTGTAATCCCAGCACTTTGGGAGGCCAAGCGGGGTGGATCACGAGGTCAGTAGTTCAAGATCAACCTGGCCAATATGGTGAAACCCTGCCTCTACTAAAAATACAAAAATTAGCCAGGCATGGTGGTGGGTGCCTGTAGTCTCAGCTACTTGGGAGGCTGAGGCACGAGAATCGCTTGAACCCGGGAGGCGGAGTTTGCAGTGAGCCAAGATCATGCCATTCCATTCCAGCCTGGGCAACAGAGTGAGACTCCATCTAAAAAAAAAATAAATTAATTACAAATATATA
Source organism: Homo sapiens (assembly GCF_000001405.40). Lineage (NCBI taxonomy): Eukaryota > Metazoa > Chordata > Mammalia > Primates > Hominidae > Homo > Homo sapiens. Next base: position 90,802,248 of record NC_000004.12, read on the forward strand.
AATATAAATATATATAATATATATTATATGTAAATATATTTATATGTATATATAAAATTCTGTGGGTAAACTATGTGAATTTTACCTCTAGTAAATGTAGTTGTATAATCAGTAAAGATATCCTAAAAATATTATGCTTTTAAAATTTTTAAATAGTATTTCAATAGTATTCATTTAATAGTATTTAAATAGTACTCATTTAAAAAGTACACTTACTGTAAATCAATGGAATGTTAATCTCTTAAGTGAGCATATAAAGATAGATCTACAATGAATTTTTAGTTAATGTTTATAAAAAAATTTTATAGCATCAAGTAGTAATTATTAATGCTGAAATGATATATAAAATATTTTTTAATTGTTTTGCGCTAACTAATAAAGAAACAAAATTGTGGTTTTCTTAACCTTGTTTTCAGTATTTGAGAAGCAGTGCCTCCCATGGACCTATTTGGATGAGTATATACCTCCACTGATTTATTTCACTAGCTACCCAGGTGTTGCAGACAGCATGCTACTTTGAAACTAAGTCAACATAAGAATTATATGAGGTCACTTATTTAGGTAGAGCAGAATATATTGTCAATGATTACACATCGTTGTGTTTTCTCATCTCTGACCTCTGTCCTTGGCCATATTCCTTTTTTCTTTCTTCTTTTTTTTTTTCACTTGTTCATAAAATTCTGTCCTTGTTTGCCCTGATAAAGTTGTCTGTTTTCTTTGTTTTTTAATCTTTTGAATTTTTTGTTTATAAGAATAAGGAAACAGCTTGTAAATCTTACAGTAAAGCCCTCCAGAGAGAAGACCAGCAGTCTACAAATACAAAGAAAGTCATGATGACTCAATGTCAAACTTGATGTGTTTGAGAAGCCAAAAATTATGTTCATAAATTTACTGGAGGAATTATTGGGAGGTTTGTGAGAATTAGAAATTATTATTTGTTTTTTATTTGCATTTTTTAATGTTTTTGTCTTTTTTTAAATTATACTTTAAGTTCTGGGGTACATGTGCAGAACATGCAGTTTTCTTACACAGGTATACATGTGCCACAGTGGTTTGCTGCACCCATCAACCTGTCACGTACTTTAGGTATTTCTCTAATGTTATCCCTCCCTTAGTCCCCCACCCCCTGACAGGCCTTGCTGTGTGATGTTCCCCTCTCTATGTCCATGTGTTCTCATTGTTAAACTCCCACTGATTAGTGAGAACATGTGGTGTTTGGTTTTCTGTCCTTGTGATAGTTTGCTGAGAATGATGGTTTCCAGCTTGTTCTATGTCCCTGCAAAGGACATGAACTCATCCTTTTTTATGGCTGCATAGTATTCCATGGTGTATATCTGCCACATTTTCTTTATCCAGTCTGTTATTGATGGACATTTGGGTTGGTTCCAAGTCTTTGCTATTGTGAATAGTGCTGCAATAAACATATGTGTGTGTGTGTCTTTATACTAGAATGATTTATAATCCCTTGGGTATATATCTGGTAATGGGATTGCTGGGTCAAATGGTATTTCTAGTCCTAGATCCTTGAGGAATCACCACACTGTCTTCCACAATGGTTGAACTAATTTACACTCCCACCAACAGTGTAAAAGTTTTCCTATTTCTCCACATCTTCTCCAGCATCTGTTGTTTTCTGACTTCTTAATGATCACCATTCTAACTGGCGTGAGATGGTGTCTCATTGTGGTTTTGATTTGCATTTCTCTGATGACCAGTGATGATGATTATTTTTTCTTATGTCTGTTGGCTGCATAAATGTCTTCTTTTGAGAAATGTCTGTTCATATCCTTTGCCCACTTTTTGATGGGGTTGTTTGTTTTTTTCTTGTAAATTTGTTTAAGTTTTTTGTAGATTCTGGTTATTACTCCTTTGTCAGATGGATAGACTGCAAAAATTTTCTCCCATTCTGTAGGCTGCCTGTTCACTCTGATGATAGCTTCTTTTGCTATGCAGAAGCTCTTTAGTTTAATTAGATCCCATTTGTCAGTTTTGGCTTTTTTTGCTGTTGCTTTTGGTGTTTTAGACATGAAGTCTTTGTCCATGCCTATGTCTTGAATGGTATTGCCCAAGTTTTCTTCTAGAATTTTTATGGTCCTAGGTTTTACGTTTAAGTCTTTGATACATCTTGAGTTGATTTTTGTATAAGGTGTAAGGAAGGGGGTCCAGTTTCAGTTTTCTGCATACGTCTAGCCAGTTTTCCCAACAACATTTATTAAATAGGGAATATTTTCCCTATTGCTTGTTTGTGTCAGATTTGTCAAAGATCAGATGGTTGTAGATGTGTGGTGTTATTTCTGAGGCCTCTGTTCTGTTCCATTGGTCTATGTGTCTGTTTTGGTACCAGTACCATGCTGTTTTGGTTACTGTAGCATTTCAGCATAATATTATTGTTCAAAATAATTTATGGATTTTACTTGCTTTTAGTTTTTGACATTTGATTTCTATTTAGTTAATAGTCTTAAACAATGAGATAATTCCAAATACAGGCAAAATGCATTATAAAATGTATAAGACTGGAGTCAGGAAACTGAACCTGGGACAAACTACCCAAATTTCTGAGTATGTGGCTGTAACTTTCCGGATTTATAAAATAGAAGTACAGGAATGAAATCACTTGTATGTAATTTTTTATCCGTATTTCAGATTCTTTAGTAGGTTATATCATAAGAACATAAATATTGCTGATATACTTGAAATGAGCTATTTGAAAATCATTGCAAATATAATTTAAATCACAAAAATCAAAAATTAAATCACAAAATATTTACTTTAAAAAATTTACTGTATGCATTTTTACACAACTATAATGACATAATTTACACTAATCTGAACTATAATAGAGTTTGTCTCTATGTTTAGATGATCTTGTAACAAGTTATTTCAAAATTTAGTGGCTTAAAACTATAATTTTATTTAGTTCACAATTTTCTATGTCAAGAACTTGGGAATGATTCAACTGGGAAGTTCTAGCCTTGTGTTTCTCAGGCAGTTAGAGTGAGATGTTAGCTGAGACTTTAGTCACCTGAAGACTCCACCAGCCTAGATGTCCAAGGTAGCTCATACTCACAGTATTCAACACCCAGCATTCAACACCGGTTGATGTTGGGTGTCCTTTGGGAGCTCAGTGAAGCTGTCAGTGGAAGCGCCATGTGGTTTCTGCTTCTCAGCATGGCTACTGGGTTCTTTCTGCAAAGGAGTAACCTCAGAAGGAGCATTATAACTGACCATGATGGAAGGCCTTTCCTGATCTAATCCTGAAAGTCATGCAGAGTCATCATATTCTATTAATCATTGCAAGTCAATAAGACTAGCCAAGATGCAAGGACAGGAACATTAGACTCCACTTTTCAATAGGAATACTAGCAAAGGGTTTATAGCTGTCTTTAATCTACCACACTGAGTTCCATATTTATGGATAATTATTGAATTAAGAAATAATAGAATTGAATTTTAGTTCAAAAATTAATTACACTTGAATGAGAAAGAGAATGTCATAATTATTAAATTATATTTTTCCTATCAATGAATAATATGCATTTTTACAAGCACAGGGTCAAATTGGTTACATTAGCCTACAGGTTAATGGAATAACTTCATTTTGAATACCAAGAATATTAAAATCCTGTTCATTCTACACATCAATATGATTTCTAACTCAATAGATCATCCTTAAAAATATGTTCTAGAATTTTGCAAATACAATGAGAATTTTGATGGGTTATTGCTATCAACCCTCATTTGAGAGTAAGAGTTGTTTAAAGGCTTTCATTTTGCCTGCTAGATAGATATTTTAGGTTGGTGCAGAAGCAATTGCAGTTTTTGTTATATAGTAATGGCAAAAGCCTAAATTACTTTTGCACCAAGCTAATATTTATGTGAATGTTGCCACTGTATATATACAACTAAAGACAAAATGCTGGGTAGCAAAAATTCATTTGCAAAGCCATTCATAGAGAAGACTTTTATAAATTGTCTTCTTATGGCATATAATAAATATTTTATATGTGTTATTCCATAAATGAATGTAAATGATATATTAGCATCTATCCAGTTTAATGTGGTGAGATTGTGAACTCCTTCAGAAATTTTCCTGGGAATAAAATCTGAGAATTTTTTAAATGAGCATAATTTTGGAAAACTGAGTTTCTTTGCAGTTCCTAGTAGCCACAATATAGGGAAATGTTCCATTTTAAACTATTTAATTAACAAAATGTTAATTAATACAAAAATACTGTTGTTAATTGTTCAACAAAAACAACTGTAGTAGATATAGGCCAAATCTCAGATCCCATCTCAATAAAGGACTCACTGACCAGCTTCCAGGAGTGTGGCTAGCCCACTACAGCATTAGCTTTTTCAAGGGTCAGCCTCAGCTCTCCAGATGAAGTTCAAGCTCATCACTGGGTGATCTGAAGCAAAGGCTGAGATCTAGCTATTCATGAGGCACTCCCCAACCAATGAGTGAACAAGGGAGTAGTACAAGAGCCAACCCACTTTTGCTCAACAGGGGGATTTCTGTAACAGGAAATCTTAGCTATGAGCCCCTCATTTGGCTCATAGAGAATTTGTTAGTAGGAATCAAGGTTTGACTGTCCCCTACTCAATCCTGAATCCTCTTCTTTTTTTTTTTTCTTCACATTTCCTTTCCTTTCCCTTCCTTAATAAACTTTATGTATCCTTAACTCCATTTGATTCCTGGAGAACCAACTTGTGACATTTTATTTTATGAATAAAATTAACTTTTCTTAAGTGACATATTATGCAAGACTTTGGTAATATAAGTAGTAATACAATAGAGTTTTTGTCGTAAGGTGGTTATAGTTTGGTGTCATCATCAACCTCCACAGAAATTTCCATGGGACTAAAGAAGTTAAGTAACTAGCACAGAACTACCTGGCTAGTTACTTGTAGCATCCAGGATTTGATCCTGTATCTCTCTGATTGTAAGAATCATGATTATTATCTTACCTGCATCCTACTATGCTAATATTAATATTTCCTTTGCAATGTAGAGCAGGTAAAACCTTTTACCATTAACAGTAATATTTAGAGTCTAGGAGTATAAGTATTAAAAATGAGTATAATCCTTGTCCATAATACCCAAGATTTGGGGAAGAAATTGGACTACTGTAAAAGAGGTGGAACAGAAAGAGTTAATAAGCATCTTCCTTGTAGTCAAGCTGGTTGTCAGCAAATGAAAAGATATATTAATAAATTACAACTAAGCTAGGTGTGGTGGCTCACACTTGTAGTCCTACCTCTTCAAGGGGCCAAGGTAGGAAGTTTGAGGCCAGCATGGACAACATAAAGCAACTCCATCTCAACAAAATATTTTAAAAGTTTCTGGGTAAAATAATGACCATGGTGAAAATCGAATCAAGAACTCAGTCTCATTTACATTTGCAAAAAAAAAAAAACTTATGAATATACTTAACCAAGGAGATGAAAGAGCTCTGTAAGGACTATAAAACACTGATGAAAAAAATCATATATGACATAAAAAATGGAAATACATCCTATGCTTAAGCTCATGGACTGTTAGAATCAAAATTGTGAAAATGACCATATTGTCCAAAGCAATCCAAAGATTCAATGCAATTCCTATAAAAATACCCCAACGTCATTTTTTGCAGAATTAGGAAAAAAAAATTTTAAAACTTATGTGGAACCAAAAAAGAGTGCTAATAGCCAAAGTAATCCTAAGCAAAAAGAATAAATCTGGAGGCATCATATTACTTCAAATTTTACTACAAGGCTATAGTAACCAAAACAATATGGTACCTGTATAAAAGTAGATACATAGACCATTGGAACAGAATAGAGAACCCAGAAATAAAACCAAATGCAACAGCCAGCTGATCTTTGACAAAGCCAACAAAAACATACACTGAGCAAAGAACACCCTATTCAATAAATGATGCTGGAAAAATTGGATAGCCAGATGTAGAAGAATGAAACTGGATCCCTATTCTCACCATGTACAAAAATTAACGGAAGATGGATTAAAGACTTAAATCTAAGCCCTAAAACCATAAAAATTATATTAGAAAACCTAAGAGAAACGATTCTGGACATTGGCTTAGGCAAAGAATTTTTGACTATGACCCCAAAAACAAATGTAACAAAAAGGAAAATAAATAAATGAGACCTAATTAAACTTAAAAGCTTCTATACAACAAAAGAAATAATCAACAGAGTAAACAGACAACTTATAGAATGAGAGAAAATATTTGCCACCTGTACATCGACAAAGAACTAATATCCAGAATCTACAAGCAACTCAAATCAGCAAGAAAAAAAATAAATAATCCCATCAAAAAGTGGGTAAATGACATAAGCAGACATTCCTCAAAATAAGATATACAAATGGCCAACAAACCATATGAAAAAATGCTCAACATCACTAACCAGCAGGGAAATGTCCATTAAAACCACAATGAGATGTCACTTTATCCAGAATAACCATTATTAAAAAATCAAAAGACAATAGATGTTACCATGGATGTGGTAAATGGTGAAAATGGAATACTTATGCACTGCTGATGAGACTATAAATTAGTACAACCTCTGGAAAATATTATGGAGATTTCTCAAAGAACTAAAAGTACCTCTATTATTAAATTCAGCAATCTCACTACTGGGTATCTACCCAAAGGAAAAGAAATCATTATATCAAAAAGACATGTGCATGCATATGTTTACCACAGCACAATTCACAATTACAAAGATATGGAATCAATTTAAGTGCCCATCAACTGATAAATGTATAAAGAAAACATGGTATTATAAGTCAGGCACGGTGGCTGATGTCCGTAATCCCAACATTTTGGGATGCTGGGGTAGGAGGATCACTTGAGCCCAGGAATTTAAGAACAGTCTGAGCAACAAAGTGAGACCCCATTTCCACACACACACACACACAATTAGCTAGGCATGGTAGCATATGCCTGTAGTCCTAGCTACTCAAGAGGCTGAGGCAGGAGGATCCTTTAAGCATAGGAGGTTGAGGTTACAGTAAGCTGATCATACTACTGTACTCCAGCCTTGGTGAAGAGCAAGATCATACACACACACACACACACACACACACACACGCACACACACAGCACACACTGTGGAATACTATTTAGCCATAAAAATAACAAACTAGTGAAAGTATTTTGCAGCAACTTGGAAGTAATTCAGGAATGGAAAACTAAATACCCCATGTTCTTATTTATAAGTGGGAGCTAAGCTGTGGGTATGCAAAGCCAGAGTGATATAATAGACACTGGAGACTTAGAAGCAGGGAAGTGTGAAGGGAGTGAGGGGTGAAAAATTACCTATTGGGTACAATGTACACTATTTAAGTGATAAGTACACTAAAATCCTAGACTTCACCACTATACAATTCATCCATGTAACCAAAAACCACTTGTACCCCTAAAGCTATAGAAATAATAATAACAAACCAATGAAAATAAAATTAAAAAAATAATAAGGTAAAAAAAAAAAGTTAGTTGGATGTGGTGGTGCATGCCTGCAGTCCTAGCTACTTGGGAGGCCGAGGCAGGAAGATTACTTGAGCCCAGGACTTTGAGGTTACAGTGAGCCTTGATTGAGCCATTGCACTCCAGACTACTAGACAGAGTGATACCCTGTCTCTAAATAAATGAATAAGAACTATACATTCTTTGTAGTTCAGTATGGAAGAAGTAGAAATTCTACCATGAGAACCAGAATAAACAGGTATTATGTTTTCTCTAATCCTTTAGATGTTTTTGGTTGTTGTTGTTCCTTGTCAGCTCAGATAAGGGTGCCAGATTTCAGAGAAAATGGGTATACTGCTGTTTATACTGCTTATTTGGTAATTGTATTGGAAAAAAACATGAATTTGAGCATCTTCTTTTTTTCAAATAGAGATGGTGTTTCACTGTGTTACCCAAGCTAGTCTTGAAGTCCTGGGCTCAAGCTATCCTCCTTCCTTGGCCTCCCAAAGTGCTGGGATTACAAGCGAGAGCCACCATGGCCAGCCAAATTTGATCACCTTATATGTGTCAGTTATTATGTTTGGTGCTAGTAATATGGTAATGCAATAGAAACTATATGCTCAAATAGGGAATAAAACTAGTTCAGTGAGGCCAGGAACAGTGGCTCATGCCTGTAATCCCAGCACTTTGAGAGGTCAAGGTGGGCAGATCACCTGAGGTCTGGAGTTTGAGGCCAGCCTGGCCAACATGGTGAAACCCCGTCTCTACTAAAAATACAAAAAATTAGCCAGGTGTGGTGGCACGTGCCTGTAATCCCAGCTACTCGGGAGGCTGAGGCAGGAGAATTGAACCTGGGAGGCAGATGTTGCGGTGAGCCGAGATTGTGCCAAGGCACTCCAGCCTGGGCAACAAGAGCGAGACTCCCTCTCAACAACAACAACAACAACAACAACAACAACAACAACCAAAACTAGTTCAGTGAGGTTGGGGAACAAGCAAACAACACTTTAAGTATTGCATGAAATGATGTATGGTATGGATGCTATGGAGCATTCCCAAAGGGGTGTGCCACTTGGCCAAAAAGGAAAATCTTTCTAGTGAAATAAAGAGTAATTCTTTTTTTTTTTTTTTTTTGAGACGGAGTCTCGCTCTGTCGCCCAGGCTGGAGTGCAGTGGCGCGATCTCGGCTCACTACAAGGCCCGCCTCCCGGGTTCACGCCATTCTCCTGCCTCAGCCTCCTGAGTAGCTGGGACTACAGGTGCCCACCACCGCGCCCAACTAATTTTTTGTATTTTTAGTAGAGACGGGGTTTCATTGTGTTAGCCAGGATGGTCTCGATCTCCTGTCTCCTGACGTTGTGATCCGCCCGCGTCGGCCTTCCAAAGTGCTGGGGTTACAGGCATGAGCCACCGCATCCGGCAGGAGTAATTCTTGAGATGTGTCTTGGAGCATGAGGTATTGTGAGGGAGAGAAGGATACAACGGGTAGAAGGCAATAAAATCCAGAAATTTGCATGTGTAAAGTGAGGAGATGTGAAACAACATTGCATTTCAGTGCTGTAGGAATGAACAAAGTGAGGAGGTTGAAAGTCAAAAACTTGCAGCTCCGGAAATAAGCAAGTAACAGTTAATGAAGGGTACAATACACTATGCTGAAGAGTTTTGATTTTCTTCCTGAAGGAGAAGATGATTAGCTGTTAAATTAGGAAGTGACAAAATTAATTCCTGCTTAGAAAAATCTCTCTGGCAAATAAGGAAAGTGATAGAGATAAAGGAAAAATCACTTTAGAGACAATTACAGAAATTTGGGTAAGAAGCAACAAGTACTTAGACTGTCAATGTGGAATGGAGAGGAGTAAGTCCAAGAAATAGTGAAGAAGTGGAGATTAAATTTGGTTCCAGATTTGGTTCAAAGTGAGTAGCAGCTGAGCGTATATGATGGCTTCCTGATTATTAATTTAGGAAATAGGAAGATAATGGGGAAATCAGCAGAAGTGAAGTCTTAAGGTGGCGGAAGAGGATGTTGAATTGGAGTGTCTGTGGAACAATATTGAGTATATGTTTAGTGAGTAGTTGTACTTAAGAGCTGGAGCTTGGAATACAGATAATTCTGGATTAGCTAGTTGTATCTTGTAGTTACTAGCTGTATTAGTCAGGGTTCTTTAGAGTGACAGAACTGATGGAATATATATATACACACACACACACACACACACACATATATACACTTAATAAACTCACATATATATACACATATATATATATATATATATAAACACATATATATATATGAGTTTATTAAGTATTAACTCACATGATTACAAGGTCCACAATAGGCCATCTGCAGGCTGAGAAGCAAGGAGAGCCAGTCCAAATTCCAAAACTGAAGAACTTGGAGTCCAATGTTCAAGGGCAGGAAGCATCCAGCACAGGAGAAATATGTAGGCTGGGAGGCTAGGCCACTCTCTCTTTTCACATTTTTCTGCCTGCTTATATTCTAGCCATTCTGGCAGCTGATTAGATTGTGCCCCCCCAGATTAAGGGTGAGTCTGCCTTTCCCAGCTCACTGACTCAAATGTTAATCTCCATTGGCAACAGCCTCACAGACACACCCTGGATCAATACCCTGTATCCTTCAATCCAATGAATTTGATACTCAGTATTAACCATCACACCAGCATAGAGTAGTAGAGGCCATGGATGTGGATATATTGTGTACATTGAGGTCGTGGTTGGGTGTACATGCAGAGTGAGAAGATTAAATGCCCAAAGATTGAGCTCTAGTGAAAGGCACAATTGTTACAGGGACATCACTAAAGATGAGCACTGTAACATGGATATTGGTTTGAGAATTAATATTTAATTATAGCCAGGGACCAAATGGTAGATATAGTATCTATACTAGTCCATTTTCACACCACTATAAAGAACAACCTGAGACTGGGTAATACATAAAACAAAGAGATTTAATTGACTCACAATTCTGTGTGGCTGGAGAGGCCTAAGGAAACTTAAAATCATGGCGGAAGGCTGAGGGGAAGCAAGGTACTTCTTCACAAAGCAGCAGGAGAGAGAGAGAGCTTAAGGGAAACTGCCACTTTTAAGCCATCAGATCTCATGAGAACTCCCTCAGTATCACCAGAACAGCATAGGGGAAACCACCCCCATGATCCAATCACCTCCCACCAGGTCTCTCCTGTGACACATGGGAATTACAATTTAAGATGAGATTTGGGTGGGATCACAGAGACAAACCATTTCATTCTGTCCCTGGCCCCTCCCAAATCTCACATTCTTGTCACATTTGAAAACCAATCTTGCCTTCACAACAGTCCCCCAAAGTCTAACTCATTACAGCATTAACTCAAAAGTCCAAGTCCAAAGTCTCATCTGAGACAAGGCAAATCTCTTTCATCTATGAGCCTGTAAAATCAAAAGCAAGTTACTTAACTTCCAAGCTACAATGGAGGTACAGGCAATGGGTAAATGTTCTTATTCCAAATGAAAGGAATTGGCCAAAACAAAAGGGCCACAGGCCTCATGCAATTCTGAAACCTGGTGGGCCAGTCATTAAATCTTAAAGCTCCAAAATCTCATTTGACTCTGTGTCTTACATCCAGGGAATGCCGATGCAAGGGATGGACTCCCATGGCCTTGGGCAGCTCCACCCCTGTGGCTCTGTGGGGTATATCCCCTGCGGCTCCTTTCACAGCCTGGTGGTGAGTGCCTGATATAGTTTGGCTGTGTCCCCACCCAAATCTCAACTTGAATTGTATCTCCCAGAATTCCCACATGTTGTGGGAGGAACCCCGGGGGAGGTAATTGAATCACAGGGGCTGTTCTTTCCTATGCTATTCTCGTGATTGTGCATAAGTCTCACAGATCTGATGGGTTCATCAGGGGTTTCCACTTTTGCTTCTTCCTCATTTTCTCTTGCCACTGCCATGTAAGTAGCATCTTTCACCTCCTGCCATGATTCTGAGGCCTCCCCATCCATGTGAAACTATAAGTCCAATTAAACCTCTTTTTCTTTCCATTCTCAGATACGTCTTTATCAGCAGCATGAAAATGGACTAATACAGTGCCTGTGGCTTTTCCAGGCACATGGTGCAAGCTGTTGGTGGATCTATGATTCTGGGGTCTGGAGGACAGTGACCCTCTTCTCACAGTTCCCCTAAGCAGTGCCCCAGTGGGGATTCTGTGTGGGTGGCTCCAACCCCACATGTCCCTTCTGCACTGCCCTAGCAGAGGTTCTCCTTAAGGGCTCTACCCCTGCAGCAGACTTCTGCCTGAACATCCAGGCATTTCCATACATTCTCTGAAATCTAGGCAGAGGTTCCCAAACCTCAACTCTTATCCTCTGTGTGCCCGCAGGCCCAACACCACATGTAAGCCACCAATGCTTGGGGCTTGTACCCTCTGAAGAAAGACCTGGGCTGTACGTTGGCCCCTATTAGCCATGACTGGAGCTAGAGCAGCTGGGATGCAGGCTGCCATGGCCCAAGGCTACACAGAGCAGCAGGGCCCTGGACACAGCCCACAAAACCATTTTTCACTCCTAAGCCTCCTGGCCTGTAATGGGAGAGGCTGCTTCCCTTGTTGGGAGAGGCTCCTGTACGGTGATGGGAGGCTGCAGTGAAGATCTCTGAAATGACCTGGAGACATTTTCCCCATTGTCTTGGCTATAACATTTGGCTCTTCATTACTTAGGCAATTTTCTGCAGTCATCTTGAATTTTTCCCCAGAAAATGGGTTTTTCTTTTCTACCTCATGGTCAGGCTGCAAATTTTTCAAACTTTTATGCTCTGCTTCTCTTTTAAATAAAAGTGCCTGTTTCCAATAATTTGTTTTTGAATGCATATGACTGAATGCATTTGGAATCAGCCAGGTCACCTCTTGAATGCTTTGCTGCTTCGAAATTTCTTCCACCAGGTACCTTAAATCATGTCTCTCTAGTTCAAAGTTTCACAGATCTGTAGGGCAGTGGCAAAATGGCACCAGGCTCTTTGCTAAAGCATAGCAATAGTGACCTTTACTCCAGTTCCCAATAAGTTCCTTATCTTCATTTGAGACTACCTCAGCCTGGACTTTGTTGACCAAATCACCATAACATTTTAATCAAAACCATTTTAGTTTCTAGGAAGCTCCAAACTTTCTCACATCTTCCTGTCTTCTGAGCCCTCCAAACTGTTCCAACCTCTGCCCATTACCCAGTTTCAAAGGTGCTTCCACATTTTCAGTTTATCTTTATAGCAGTGCCCCACTCCAATCACCAATTTTCTGTATTATCCATTTTCACATTGCAATAAAGAATGATCTAAGACTGGGTATTTATACAGGAAAAAGGTTTAATTGATTCACAGTTTCTCATGACTGGGGAAGCCTCAGGAAACTTACAATCATGGTGGAAGGCTAATGGGAAGTAAGGGATGTCCTCCCAAAGTGGCAGGAGTCAGAGAGTCTCAGGGAAAACTGCCACTTTTAAACCATCAGATCTCATGAGAACTTTCTCACTATCATGAGAATATCATGGGAGAAACCACCCCCATGATCCAATCACCTCCCACCAGGTCCCTCCCTCCACACGTGGGGATTACAATTCGTGATGAGATTTGGGTGGGGACACTGAGCCAAGCCATATCAGTATCTTTTTAAATGTAGAGTTATTTCTGTTCTACTTACTATGTATGCACAAACATGAGAGGGAATAATTTAGGAAGGTTTCCTGGTTTCTGTCATAGGCAAATAAATCGATAGAGGAATACCAAAAACAAAACAAAAAACTAAGCAAAAACATATGTGTGTGTGGATGTGTGTGTGTGTGTGTGTGTCTACATGATTATGTGTAGCATAAAAGCATTTTTTGGATACATTAACTTATTTTTTGCAACTAAGAATATATTATGAAAAATATCATACTATAGAGGGAATTTGAGTTTCGTTAGTCAGATGCAATTATCTCCCACTGTGTGAAGCTGACTTTCCTTATCAAGAGCAAAGTAAAAGGGCTAAGCCTATTATGCTGTCTCTTTGATGTTTTTATAGGATATAATGAAAGATGAATGCTCGATGCTCAAGCTGCAGCTGAAAGAGAAGGATGAACTCATTTCCCAACTTCAGGAAGAGCTGGTAAGTGATAACAATGCTTGGCCCACGAGTGTACTTTACTTTCAAGGTTATTTGTTCCACGCCCTTATTTATTAACACCAATGGCATTAGTTATTTGTAAATCCTTCCAGTGGTTCAATCCAATGATCAGTTTTTATAATTCTGTCATGAAAACTATAGATCTTTGACAAGCTGAAGAATAGAAAGGATGTTTTATAATATATGTGGAAATGTATATGGTTCCAGAAACATATCACTGAACCAGGATTAAACATTTCGGTTGTATCTATCAGAAATCTTGAAGGCTTAGGCCACATTGTTTTTGTAAAGTGCATGATTTAACTCCATAAAGCTATACCTAAAGATACAGATCTATAATATAAAGCAAAATACTTGATCTAGCAAACAAAACCAGATTTTACATTTTACTTTTATAAAGCCATCAAAAATACATTAACCTAATGAGACTTCTTGTTAATTTATTATATAGTTCCCAAATTATGTAAAAATTATACAAAAATATGCAGTGTGTGTGGTTCAGGTTTTAGAGTATGGTTTTTAATGTAATATCATGAAAGAAAGTAAGGAATTACACTTTCATAATATAAAAATACATTTGGTAGATAGCAGACAGAGCAGTGGGCATTATTTTTTCTAAGTATGTGTTTTCTATGTATCTATGAATATTAACAGTATTTTGCAATAAAATGTGCACTCAATATAAATTTTAAAAGATAGTACTCTAAAACAATAATTAAATAGAAAGAAATAAGAAGAGATATTTTTAATTCATCATTCATTTTTACACTAATAATAGATTAAAGAAATAACCATGCAATAAGAGAGACCCTGACTCATTATCAAGATCAAGAAACAAATCCTTCTCAACGTATTTTTAATGATTATTTCAGACTCACAATAGTGTATTATGTAATTATTGAACACAACTAAATTACAAAACAGACTTTATAGACCATCGAACTTCTGAGGACTCCTAACATATTAGTGAGATATTGGAGAAATTCAGAGCATAGTTTATAGACTCTTCACAACTGACAATGTTTTCCCTGAAACTTGATCTTTATTTAAACAGTGTTCTAGGATTGGATTGATGCTGATCCTTGGTCCCATTAACATGTTACTGTGGCTTTAGAAGACTTATAAACTAGTACTTAGCATAAGAATAGTATCACAGACAAAAGGAACACGTGTTACATTACCAAAATAACCTTTTATAAACCTGTAAGTAACATATTGTAGTGTCAATTTTATATATTACATAATGAAAACATTTCTTTATTTAAATATAGCCCTCTAGGTACATATTATCTAATAATGCTTTTTTACGTTGCATACAAAAATATCTTTGAGTTGACTAAATATCACCTATAGATATTTATTGCATAATGGTTAAAATAATCAATTTTAACATAGCAGAGTATTTATTACTTTGTCAGAGAGTGCTTATTTTGAACTTGGGTAATTAACTCAGAAAAGAGTATTCTTTTTTTCTCAGCATTAGTTATGATCAGTTTTAAAACATTCATATACAAGAAATTGGACCTTCATTTGCTGAATTAAATGAAAAAGAAAATGATTACTTTCAAAGACAGTACTACATAGTTATAATTTAAAAAATTTAGTATACCTCCATCTAAAAAAGTCCTATATATTTCTTTTTCTTTTCTTTATACTTGAATTACTCAAATTGGCTACTTAGTTTCTAAAATTTCTCAGGGAACAATCAAGCAGCATTTTAATTTTGTGCTATTGTAGTTTCCATAATCATCTTGAATAAACAGGAAAAATGTTAACTTTAAAAAAAATATAGTTTATTTTATTAATTAAAAAGGACTGCAGCTAAGGGAGAAGTATGTAATTGGTGATTCAAGAATTTTACTTAGAGGAAACATGGTTGGAAAAAAAATTGTCATTCAAACTGGATTTGGAGCATGGATAAGAAATGCCAATCATGTAGGCCAATACAAACCCCTTGCATCCACGGAAAATTTTGGTCCTCCTATTTCTGGTCCTGGTAATAAATAACTTGTGACATTTTGTTATGGTGGAGGTTAAATTTTACACTTATGCTTTACTTACATTGAAAATTTCAAAAAATTTTAGAAACCAGTTGAGTTATACCCTACTATATACTACAGGTTCATAATCTTTAATAATTTAGAACTGATTCAGTTTTCTATTCTTTCTCATGGGTTTCTGATTTCTTGACCACTGTTATTATCACAAGCAATTGTATCTACATGTATGCTGTAGAATGAAATTAGATGTAATTGTACCAAGAAAGGCTTTATTCCCAATTAGTAATTAAGAAAGTTTTAAATTTTTTGATTATTTATATTTTTGAGTTAGCCTCATCAATAGTGGGAAGAGTTGTAAAAAGTTAGGGACAGAATGGGTCTAGAAAAAAAGAAATGTTTTTCTTTTCTTTTTTTTCTTTTTTTTTTTTTTTAAGATAGAATCTTGCTCTGTCACCAGGCTGGAGTGCAGTGGCATGATCTCAGCTCACTGTGCAACCTCCACCTCCTGGGTTCAAGCGATTCTCTTGCCTCAGCCTCCCAAGAAGCTGGGACCACAGGCACACGCCACAGTGCCCGGCTAATTTTTGTATTTTTAGTAGAGACGAGGTTTCGCCATGTTGGCTAGCTGGTCTTGAACTCCTTACCTCAAATTATCTGCCCACCTCGGTTTCCCAAAGTGCTGGGATTACAGATGTGAGCCACCACTCTGGGCCATAACAAGTTTTTTAGTCATTTAAATGCAAGTGTTTTAGTCATTTGTTTTTAGGGCATGGTTTCTGAACAATAGTGCTGGTGGCACTTTGTTGTGTCTGTGCTATGAATTGTAGGACGTTTAGCAGCATCCCTAGCCTCTCTCCTCTAGATGCCAGTAGCACCTCTACACATTGCCAAATGTCCCATGGGGGCAAAATTGCCTCCAGGTGAGAACCACTGCTACAGGGATATTAGATTAAATGTGTAGTCCCCAATGAAATGGTATGTTATAGAAAAAACATCTATTTATAGATACCCAGGAAAAAAACAAAAAACTCCAGCACAAGAGATGCACCTTTCCTTGGGCTATTAAATATGTAACTGTTTGTACACTGTATTTATCTACTAAGGCTACCAAAACAAAATGCCATAGATGGGGTGGCTTAAACAACTAAAGTCTATTTGTCAGATTTCTGGAGGATAGAAGTCTGAGATCCGGTGCCAGAGTGTTGGGATTGTGGTGAGGGCTGTCTTCCTGGCTTGCAGATGGCCATCTTTTCGGTATGTGCTCCCATGGTCTTTCCTTGGTGCATGCACATAGGGAGAGAGAGAGAAGAGGGAGAAAGAGAGATCATGTGAGCCCTCTGATGTCTCTTCTTCTAAAGACACTAATCCTGTCATAAGGACCCTACCTCATGGCCTCATCAAAACTCCCATCATCTCCCAAAGGTCCTATCTCCAAATATCATCACGCCGGGAGTCAGGGCTTCAATACATGAATTGTGGAGCAGGGGGAACAATTCAGTACATAGCACATACTCTTTGTGCTCATGACTGTTTAATATTAGCAAGTTCAGTTGTGGAAAATTAGAGAGTTCTACTATATATTTTTTTCCAGCATTAAATGCACGTTTCAAAAATTATTCTTTTCTACCATATGATTTCAAAATTATTACATTGCCTTAATTCTTTTTTATTGCTGGGTGGGTAGATTTCACAAAGCATAAAGACACTGAGAAACTGAAAATAATAATTTCGATTTAGGATTATATATTGATATTATTTGGGTAAACTATTCAGATTATTAATTGCATTTCTAATGTGAATGTATTTTTGTATTTTATAGCCACACTTCCAATTTATTCCTTCTTTTTAAAAAGAAAACAATAAGCTGTTTGTACTCTTAGGAACAATTTTAAAAAGTCAAGACTTATTATCCCTGAAATATTTATGCATTACTTACCTTGGTGAGATTTACTGTTTTCAACAGATCGAGATAAAAATAATCACTTGTAATTGTTTTATTATGTCCAAAGGGATATTAAATGTTAGAATATTACAGTGTCCTGGGATTATGTGCTAGGGAAACTAATTGGAGAAAACGAGACATACATTCTGTAGCCAGAAGTTTGCAGTATGGTAAACAGAGAGGAAACTAGTTCACAGCATGGAACATCTACTCCCAACTGTTCTATAATAGAACAAAATCTCCTCTGCATTAAATAAGAAATAGAGCAAAGGAAAAATTTCTTCTCTTCATCTTCCTGGGGCCTTAGCTTTCTTTACTTGAGGAGAAGAGTGAGTCAATATGGTGATATGGAAAATTGGGATATGAGTTTCTTGTCCTACCTCTAATCTTAATTGCCTATGTGACCAGATTTAGGTATTTTTCTCTATTTGGGCATTGGTTTCTTCAACTGTCAAATAATACCACTGTATGTTTTGGTCTGTTTTGTGCTGTTCTAACAAAATATCACAGACTGGATAATTTATGGTAATTTATAAAAACAGAAATATATTTCTCATAGTTCTAGAGGCTGCTAAGTTCAAGATCAAGGAGCTAGCAGGTTAGGGCCCATCTCTCTGCTTCCAAGATGGTGCCTTGAAAGCTGAGGGAAGGAATGCTTGTCCTCACATGATAGAAAGGCAGAAGAGTATGAATCTGCTCCTGCAAGCCCGTTTTATAGCAGCTTTAGTATATACATGACATGGAAGCCTTCACGAGCTAAACATCTCTCCATAGGTGGCACTTCCCAACACTGTTTGGGATTAAGTTTTCAATGACAGAATTTGGGGCGACATACTCAGACCATAGGACCATAACATTAAAAATATTACATATTTATCAATAGTGAATTTGATAGATTATAGCATATTTATATTTATATAACTGTATTATATATTATATATATTTTTATAGCTATGTTGCTTATAAAATTATTAAGTGGAGGGAAAAGCAGATTTTAGAACAGCATATTGTATAACACGATGTGAAAAACGTATATTGTATAGAAAGTCTAGAATAATTAATAGTATTTAACTTTGAGAAATTAGACTGCTCAATTTCTGCTTTAATTTGGTAATGTGTCATTTTTAATAACAAATATATTACTTGTATAATCAGAAAAACACCAGACTACTTCTTTGGAAAATAAATGAAGAATTTCAATGTGTTTAATGGTTTTCATTCCGTGATCAGTGTGTGTTGGGGGAAATAAGGGCCGCAGAGGGATCCTGTGGATTTCTATTCCCCACCCACTTAATGATAGTAGCCCTCATTTCATTGTTTTTTGCATGTCATTACTTATTACAGTATCATTTCAATCAATAAGCAGTTTTTATTTAATGCATATCATTATACTCCTAAGATTTTATTTGATGAAAAACCACAGCTGAGAACAAAATCAAGCAAACAAACCAAAACCCTGAACAAGATGATTGCTAAGAACTACTGCGAACTATTAAACAGGGTGGGAAATGAGAACAAAAGCTATGACATACACCTCAGTGAGAATTATTACACATCATGGTGATTGGAGAGAATATTAGCTAATTGAGGGCATGGAAAAGAACCAACGTTCAGAATCAAAAATAAAAGGAGGACTTTTTTGATAATTAAATGTTTGGATAAATAGTTTAAAATATAGGTTCTATTTATGTTGTAGAATATATTGGACTTTTTGAATATTAGAAATACATCACTCTTATCCAACAGAAAGATTTAGGGATTTTACTAATTTAATTTATTAAGATATTTAAAGCAGAGCTATAGATTTAGACCAAAAGTCTAAACATAATAGCTAAACGTATGCATACTTAATCATAATTAATTATAATAAAAGGTATTTTAAATATTTGCATCATAAGTTTAATTTATTACACTTAATGATATAAAACAGAGAGATATTTTTCTCACTTCTGAGAAAGTTTCAGTGTCTTTCCCTCAGCTATTTTGTGAAGGTTATGTTGAAGAATGCCATGTAATTTTATTGCTTATATGATACTGAAGGGCACTGTAAATATTATCCTCAGGTTACTAAAATAAATTTGAGATATTTGTCATAAATGTTGATGGTGAAGTGTAGTCTTGTGTTTTGGGGGGATGGATATGTTCTTGTAAATGATTATTAATCTTATCAGTGGTTTCAAAAATCTTATACATGGTTTTACACTATGGATGAAGAGTGTGTACCATACGACATCAGAAATTGAAGAAAGTATATTTGGTATTTATTAATAAATTAATTCAAAATATTTTTTAAGTAAGTTAGAGTTAAATTACAAATGAAAACATAATAAATTTAGTTAGTTCTATGACCGTGAAGAGAAGAATTTAATTGTCCTAATTAAGGTTAGTAGACGGTGCTGTGAATTTACTGTTTTAACTTGGATGACAATTTACATATACACTTTCAAAAATGTTAAACAGATTTGTATGGATAATCACATTACTAAATGTAAGTTGTCAGCAGTTTATATTTCTGAACTTTTGGGGTTTCTACCATTCAGAATTTTCCTGTTGGACACTTTTATTTGTTTTCTAGCCGATCGGGGTAAAATGTATCAGATACAGCTTTCTATGTCTATTTCTGTAAAAACATATGTGTTTTGGCTGGGCCTGGTGACTCACGCCTGTAATCCCAGCACGTTGGGAGGCCAAGGCGGGCGAATCACGAGGTCAGGAGTTTGAGTCCAGCATGGCCAACATGGTGAAACCTCATCTCTACTAAAAATACAAAACATTAGCTGGGCGTGGTGGCGGGCACCTGTAATCCCAGCCACTCCCGAGGCTGAGACAGGAGAATCGTTTGAACCTGGGAGGCGGAGGCTGCAGTGAGCTGATAACGTGCCATTGCACTCCAGCCTGGGGGACAGAGTGAGACTCCATCTCAAAAAAAAAAAAAAAAAAAAAAGTTTCTATTTAAAAGTCCAATTCAAATGGGTCACCGGAAAAACAAAATAGATTTTCTGAAAAAGTAAGTTTATTAGCCCTCTGTAAAATAAACACTTTAATAACAGCCCTTAATAACATTATTTAAACAAAAAAGCAAAACAAAAATACTTATTATGTTTTCTTTCATAATCTTCCTCTGTTTACTAACATTACAACAACTATACTTTTCAATGCTAGTGAAATTTAAGTTACCTCTGTTTACTAACATTACAACATCTATACTTTTCAATGCTAGTGAAATTTAAGTTACCTTCACCACCACATCTTTTTAAGCAGTAAGGGAATACATTGACTGTAGGAATAATGTATGACTATTATCAGAGGCAAAAATTTAAAACATGTCGGTAATGAGAGACTCTTTCCTAAGAAGATTTTTTTGTGGGTCTGAATTCTAAATGTAGGTTATGATTAAGTTTTAAACTTCACACACACACATACATACACACACACACACATTTTTCCCCACACACTTTAAAATTTTTTTCAATTATCACATTTTTTTAATTACCTGTCCTTTAATAAACAATGCATTTTTAAATGGAAGTTTAACTAGGAGATTTCAGTTATGGAGCTGAAACACTCAACGATTCCACCACACATTTTTATTTTGAGAGTTAAGTTTGTGATCTTAAGTCAGAACCTTCCAACTAGCTGTAAACTGTTTGTGTTTCTAAAATTTGAGGTGCTACTTATTAATGTATTCAAATATAGATTTCAAAATAAGCAATGAGAGCATAGTTATTGTAAAGACAAAGACATGGAACTTGAGATACTTAAATTATATCAGTTAATAGTAACCATTTGGAGTATTTATTTGTATTTAAGATTCAAAACAAAAGAATAGTGTGTGAACCGTGAGCTCTCTATTTTGGGGGGGGATGTTTGGACATTTTAGTTTATAATTAAATATTTTACTGAATTTTAATAATATCTTCAAAACTGAACTTTATTTTTTATTTTAAAATGTTAATTTTACTTTTAAAATTAAAGCACAATTAAAAAATAAATGTTACATCAAGAGCGTGATTTAGTAATTACCTATACTGTATCTTCTGCAGACTCTTTTTTTATTAAACAAATATTACATTTATTAAAATTTACTTTTTACTTTTTGACATATAGTTTACACAAAGTTAAATAAAAGTTTTAACTAGCTTCATTTCTTTTCTGGCCATTATTAATATTAATTTATTGCCATATTATTTAATCCTATGTTTTTCTTTTAGAAGAGGACGGTTAAAAATAAGCTTTTCAGGCATCCATTATAATAGATACATCATTGAGTTGAACACTTTTTCCTCCCGTAATGTAAATATGAACTCAAGAAAGCCAGGCCTCATTAAAAAAAATGTTTAAAAACATGTATCCCTTTTCGTGTTATTCAACCTACTGTGTTCTCACTCAAAGCAAATATTGAAAATTATATTCTTACTTGAGTGTAAGTAAGCATGTAAACAATCATGTTTCTCCAACCTTTTCAAATGTAATTTACTTTATTAACTGTAAGGCAAGTTCTCGGCTCATTTGTTAACAATTGAATAGCAAAACATGGGACTGAATAAAGGCACTTGTAGAAATGATGATTTTTGAAAAAAATTGAAGGCAGTTGAAAAACTGAAAGTGTATCATTATGTGTAATCAGGTTACTATGCATAATAAAAAGGGTGAGCTAAAAATAAAAGACTAAGAAATACATATGGCTAACTAGCACTTTATCAGAAATCTAGAGAGGAGTAATTTTGATACTTTCAGAATTCAAATTGAATAAAATGGTATGCCCTTGATACTTTAATAACAGAATAATTCCTGCATGATAAGAGAAACATTCTTTGTGCATGAAAATCATATCATGAATTTATCTTAAAAGTAATTCCCCACTTGCTCTACATTCTATTATAATTTATGGTATTATTTCATGCTAGTCATTTTAGAATAGAATATTACAGCTCCATGGATGATTTACATAGAAATGGACAGCTGTAAGTACTTTCAAATCCTCTTTCTTTTTCATATTTAGGAAACATTACGAACAGAAAAGTAATAGATTAGGTATACTTAAACATTATTAAAGTGTCAGGCTACTTTCCTTCTTTTTTCAGGAGAATTAATTGCATATATTCCAGAAAAGGCTTATCTCAGCAGTAATTACTCTCCTAGTCAGCTCTGTAAGACAGATGTAGAGTGTGAATGTGACAGTATCCTATGATACATAATGGGGACTGCCTCCAGTTTCTTACACACTCCAGTACCCTGATGAAGAGCTGCCAAAAAGATACAATCTTTAATATTCAATGGAATTTGCTGTAGCAATAGTACATATTTGTTAAAGTCTTTATCACAAAGGGTTGTTATATTGCAGTACAGCATGGATATAAGAAAATAATTGCTCTATGATTTAAATGCCAATAGGAAGGTGTTTTACCTTTAAGGCATAAATTGAGTTAAAAATATTCCACCATATTGTGATCAAATTAGGCATGTAGTTGAAATTAATTTATACGTAAAGTTAAACAGTTGAATATTTTGGATATTTTAAATTTATTATATAAGCTATGTCATACAATTTACAAACTATCTTCTTTATTTTATACTTCTTTTGTTACACTAATCAAGATTCCAGTACTTAGAGTAATTTAACAAACGCAACAATTTAAGTAGTCAGTGGGACATAATGATAGCCAAAGACTTAGAAAAAAATATATAACGCATGTTCCTGAATTATCATGGAAATTAATAATATGCAGAAGGGGAAATATGTGTTTTTTTGTGTGTAACTGGGCCGTCAAAAACAAAATTACAGCAAATTTAGTTTAAAGATGTAATTGGCTTTTATTAACAATTTATGAATTTGTGGCATCTCATATAAAGATTTACAAAAGTTCCTCCTCTGGGCATGGCAAAACAATTGGTATTTTTTTGTTTGTTTTGTTTTTGTTGTTGCTTTTTTTTTTTTTTTTTGAGATGGAGTCTCGCTCTGTCACCAGACTGGAGTGTAGGGGTGCAATCTCGGATCACTGCAACCTCCACTTCCCAGGTTCAAGCGATTCTCCTGCCTCAGCCTCCTGAGTTTTCTGTATTTTTAGTAGAGACGGGGTTTCGCCATATTAGCTAAGATGGTCTCAATCTCCTGACCTCGTGATCCACCTGCCTCGTCCTCCCAAAGTGCTGGGATTACAGGCCTGAGTCACCGCACTCAGCACAACAATTGTTTTTTATAAGGTACTTTGAATAGGAACAAGGAAACAAGCTAATACAAAAAGTGGATTGTTTAACATCAGGTTACTTCATGTTACTTTCCTTGTAAGAGTTAAAGTGGAGGAAACTTCCTTATTATGCCCAATAAAAACTAGCTTGTTTGGGATTTGGCTATCACCTCTACATGATTTCTTGGAAGGCCAGAAAAATAAGTTACCTTGAGTTTGGTGACGTGGAATCTTAACATGAATGACTCCATTTTGGTTCAGTCTTTTGGACTCTAGTACAGAAGCTCAGTCCAAAACAATGGCCTCCTCCTTTATTTAACTGTATGTATATAAATAAACATGTAATGTTCTACTTCACAATAAAGTATGTTTAAAAATTTGAAAGTCAGTCTGAGCCGGGGACTTTGACTGGAGCAAGTGTTAACATGATGAAGGAGTAGAGTGGTATCTGTCCTCAAGGAAGCAAAGGGAGATAGGCTTACATAATTTTAATAACAACAGCCACTAGCTACTGAGCTCCTAACCTTTGACAGGTACTGTGAATGCTTTAGGTTTATTATTGCCTTTACTTTTTATAATACAATTGAGAAATAAGTATTATTACTCCCAGTTCATTCATAATAAACTAAATTCAGGGGGATTATGTGATTCGTTTAATTCTGCATAATACATGACAGTTAAGATTGAGAGGAAAATCTGTCTGACTCCACGCACATGTTATTTTCCCTGTTACATCAAACAGATTTATAAATTACAGAGAGATTACAAACATATTAGTGGTATAAAATAGGATAACACAGTTCACTTTTGCTACATATCAATACCGAAATAAAAATAATAGCTACTATTTATGGATTGGTTACCATTCATCTGGTAGTAGCAGTCAGACTTGGGTGGTCAGGGCAGAAACTCTTGTGATAGTGTTACTGGCAAAGCCGGTCCCCCAGAAGTGGGGGGTCTTTCCCCGTTCAGTGTTACAAAGCCATTATGTGAAACTGGAAATGAGCATCAAGCAGTTCAGACTTTATTTGATGGCCATGGAATTGAGAAGTGGGAGCACAGCTCACAAATCAACTTCTCAGCTCCTGAGAGCTGGAAAGTCACAGATAGAAGGCTACTTGAATTAAGGTGTTGAGCATTAAAAGCAAGGGGAGGAATATCCGTGCAGTTTCTGGGAATAGGCAGAGAAAATCTCAGAACCAGAGTGCTGCCTTCCTTTTATGGTTTCTTCTGGTCATTGTCATGATGATTAACTGTCATGGCACTGATGGGACTTTCATTTAGCATGGAAATTAGATTACAATAAAGTTAGAGTTTCTTCAGAGGTCAAGTGAGCTGCCATCTTGGATACCACTGGTTTCAACTGGTCTGATCAGGTTGGGAACTTCAGACCACAGACATCCTGTTCTTACAAATTAGGAGAGTCAAGGTGGGGTAGCAATTTAGCTATGCTATACAGGCATTACACTGGGTAATGATAACAAAACAGAAAAATTTATTTTAGAGGAATCACCTACAGCCACTTCTTCCAGCCTTGGAAGTGAGAATGGTGGGTTTCATCAAAAAGCACATAGGGCATCACAGACACATTTAATGTCATTTTAGTAATCATGTCCTATTTCATGGACACTCTTTATATTTGAGTTAAACACATTATTACTTGTAAAATCATGACAGCATTATCAGAGACATGAAAAGAGAACAATTTGAGCATCTTATCTAAAAGCTGTGTAGGGGAGGGAAGAATTTTCTTTTGCCCTCTGAGAGTTTAATAATTGAATCTGTTAAATAATCTGACAACGGGCAGATTAATAGGAGAATAGTTACACAAATTTATCATGTGCACCAGAACATTGCAGGAAAGACAACTGAATACCCTAAAACCAAGTGAGATTTATCATTCTTATATACCCTGGTTATAGAGCCGAGGGGGAAGGGGATGTAGGCAATTTATAGGAGAGTAAATGGTTTTGGAAAAAATGAATGGGCCCTCAGAAGAATACATGGTGGTTTGTGACAAAGTTGGTCTGTGTGTGGTGCCGACTTCTTGTCTTCCTCTCCTGTGATAAGAGTTAATCTTCCCTGGTTGATGCAGCCCTCAGGGAGAGGATTGGCAATAGCTGTATTACTTTCGGAGGAGCTGTCTTTAGCCAGATAAGGGGAGCTCTGAGAAAATGTCCACCTATATCCAACATACCTCAAGTGCTCTCAATTTGAAGTAATTAGCATACCAAAGTGGCATATTTTGAAGTTGCATTTTTTGAACTCTTTCAGCTGAGAAAGCAAATTTTTTAGTGACTTAAAATGTATCTTTATATTTTTATAACATGTGTGAATGCAATATCTACATACTTATCCATAAGTCTATTTATATCACTAAGAAATCTCCCATAGTCAGCCAAATACAGAGTGAGAGAATGGTCAAAAGTGAGGAGAAGCACTAAATCCAAACAGCATGATTTCATCATGTCTTCTGATTAAATATTTTACTCAGTGGATGAACAAAACAAGAATGAATGGGCTGGAGATTGTTTTTAAAAATTTAGTTTCGTATCACTTTACAACTCTTTGAGCTATTCTAGGACTATTATAGTTTCTGTAAGGAATAAAAAGGAGGATTTTACCAGTTGTAATCCCCACTAGAAGCTTGAGCTTAAGTGTTTTTCCTGTGTGTTCCCTTTTTACTGTCAAATGTGGCTTTATCATTACTTGTTTTTCCCTCTCATTGGTGGGCTCCTTAATGATAGGGTCTTTGTTCTCCTATAGCCTCAATATCTAACAAAGCAGGCAATTAGTAAATATTTGAAGGAATGAATAAAATTTATATCGTATTTTTTGCTCTTACATTTGTTAGGAGAACTTTTAGAGAATAAAGCAAGACAATGTCACATTATTAAATTATATAGATGAAAGATAGAAATGAAAGGGGAAAGAAAGACTGTGAGTTTAGGTATATAATTTCCTGGAGGAACCACTAGATGCCAAACAAGCATGTGGGGATGTCACCTAGGAAACTTAAATGCAAAATGGGTATCACCAGAAATAACAGCAAGAAAATAAGTGGAGGAAAACAGAGCTATGAAATGATCCAAAGACAAGTAGTCAAGAGAAATTATAGAAGTAAAAAGATAGGGTAAAGTTAAAATTGATTCTAATCTAAAATATTGTAGAAAACAAAGAAAAACTAAGGAAACAACGTTCAACAAAACCATGAAAACTTTTCAAAAATTTAGGAAGTGCTAAGATCATCTGCTTCTCTTCATTTCACCAGAAAAACATCTTAGTGAAATAATACAATTTGAAGCCTCTCTTAAAAAACTGATTTTTTAGATAGAATGGTTTATAATGTGAACAATTCATAATAGAAAATAGCTATGGGTAGGAAGTTAATGAGACTGGAGAAAAAAACAGCTACGCTAAAACATAAGTACAAATGAAAGAGTAAAAATAAATTTAAAATGCCAAACATGTTCATAACCTATATTGATGAAAGTATTGTTAGTGGTGGTAGAGATCCAAGTTACCATGAGTTAACAGCAGCCTGTCTGTATGGGTCCATAGTAACTTCAGTCCTTGCCGCCTCAGAAAGAATTTGACTGAGGGGCATAGAGCAGAAAAAGAGAGCGAGGCAAGTTTCAGAGCAGGAGTGGAAGTTTCTTTAAAAAGTCTTTAGAACATGAAAGAAAGGAAAATTTGCTTGGAAGGGACCCAAGTGCACACCTGAAGGTCTGCGAGAGAGTAGATGACAGCAAAAAAAGAGATCTTTAACCTTGATCCTAGAACTTTATAGGCTGGTCTGTTTCCCGTAATTCTTTCCTTAGGGTGGGCTTCCTGCATATGCAGTGCTTTCCTTACCTTTTGGAATTGAGCACATTCAGTGTGTTTAGGGAGTTATATGCATGCCTATCTGAGGCTTCCTTCCTTTTTCTAGTAGCATGTGTTCTTGAAACATCACACTTCGCCATTTTGACTGTTAACACTCATGCCCAAGAAGCTGCTTCTCCCTGAGGCCTACATTCAATTAACACTTCTAATGTTAGCCTGTGTGGACCATCAGGAGATTCTCTCCCTGACAGCCAAATTATCGTTTCTAGAGAGGCAATACGATAATTGCCAAACCATCACCGGACATTTCTAGTGAGTCGGGGAGAGACCTCTCCTGCTCCGCTCATGCTTAACTACAGCATAAAATGTTGAGAAGTATATGAAGCAAATAATTGTTCATACTATGTGTCAATATTATGCTATGCCATTTACTTGTGTATCTTACCTCACCCTTGGCCGTAATTTTTCTTTTATATTGAGGAAACCAAGGCTCAAAGATGTTAAATAAATTTCTCAAAGCTGCAGAATGTCATTTAAAGAATCTAAGCATATGCAAATTAAATTTTACTA
Organism: Homo sapiens; assembly: GCF_000001405.40. NCBI lineage: Eukaryota > Metazoa > Chordata > Mammalia > Primates > Hominidae > Homo > Homo sapiens. The sequence goes on from NC_000004.12 coordinate 90,830,389, forward strand.
TGTTTGCTATGGAGAAGCAAAAAGTGCTTCAGTGTAAGGTTCCTTCACTCAAATTATTTCCCACTGTTAATAGCATACACAGACTTGTGGAGTATGACACTGAGAGGAACAAAGCAAATAGAGACCAGTCAATTTGATGGTTATGGGGATTTCTGAGCTATTTAAGTTCATGGAACTTTGTTGCTTTGGAATGAGAGATCCTTAAAATTCTTCTAATTGCCACAGACACAACTGCCCATTTTTCTGTTTTACTAAATTCACAATCCCTACTCTATTTTGCAGTTTTTGGTTTATTACACAGCCAGACAAGATGAACTTGAATCAGTAAAGTCCCCAAAGATTTGAGGCAGCCAAACACACCCTTCCTTTTTTCTCTATTGTATAACTTTTGTTAATTGTCCTTGGACTATGAACAAACAACTTTGGTAGTAACACTAAATTACTATTTAAAAAGTGACATATGTGTATTTTAATAATGAATGCTGAGGAGTGAATCATATCTAACACTAATATAACAGATATCCCATCCATATAAACTCCCTTCCCATTGTCCTTTTTCATGTTAATCTGTAATCATTTCACTCAGCCTGTATTCCACTTACTGTTCCCAACCATTCTGGGCATTATGTTGGTTTTACTGTCAGTCTCAATGTATTACAAACAGGGGAACTGAGGTTCAGCACAATTAATGAACTATCTCATTAGCTAACAAGCAGTAGGAAGGTATGCGCATACTAAGATATGCGTCAGTGTGGTTCTACACTACCTTTGCTGAAGACTGACTTCTTTATGTGTGATATGCGAAGAGATGCCATTATGGAGAAAGGAAGGTAGGGTTGAATACTGAAAAAGGTATTTGATTATTGATTTTTCTTTCTTAGTGGATTTGACTTTTACAGTGAAGAATAATAGGTACTGTATTCATTATTTTCTATCATTTTGCACACTGAGATATTGGATTGCATAGCCTATCTTGTTATAATCTGTCATTTAAGAAAACTGTATCATTATATAATTTCTATTGATGAGCATTTATATATTTTTTCCTCCTCTGAACTTTGCCACAAAAGGCATATTTGTTTTAGCAAACATTGATAACCTGCTAGGAAGATGAGAATATGCCTATTACACTGTTGAAGATTGGCTACATAACTTGAGTTATCTACAATATGTTGCAAAAGGCAGATACTTGGCAAGTTTAATGCCATCCATCTGATGTAATTGAACTTAAGGTTGGATGAATAGCACTTCATTTCATCCTTGAAACTTTACGAACATGACTGTTATTATCTCAACAACTAATGTTGCTTAAAGAATGTTCATTACTTGCATATCATTTTTTTTCCACAAAAGAATAACCTTGACTAAATATTAGGTAAAATTTAGTTTAGACTATATTTTTGAAAACTTTTTAAATGAAAGTTATCTAATAAGAGAAGAGGAAAAAATTATGTTACCTAATATTCCACTACCTCAATATAGCCTTTTTGATATATTCATATGTCTCTCCCTCCTCCAATTTTTATATAGCAGAAATGATAATGGCTATATGTTTTGTATCTTGCTTTCTAATAATTGTATATCACATATATCTTATATGTGTAATTACGTTCTTAAAATAAATGTTCAAAACTCTGATTAGTGGAGTAAAGGGCAAGACAGTCTTTTTACAAGCATCAGGTATTACTATGTGACTCTTTTTTTTTCCTAGTTCAGTGTTATAAGTAACAATTTACTAGTAATGTTATCTTTTATCATTTGTCTATTAAAACAAGCATATATTAAATGGATTGCCTTCTTGAAATAAAATAAAAATTTAATAGATTTATTTTTCAAGTTTTCTTTCCATAGTAGAAATGTCTGCAAATGAAGAGAAAATTCTTCATTTCAGTTGTATATATTCAACTACAGCTATAGGTGTAGATACAGATAGAACATGTGATGATAGAAGCAAATATCTGAAAATATTTTTCTGAGCTGCAGTGAATGAGCAAGCTACATAAATAATGAAGCTTTTGTTTTCTAGTGTGTGAAAAAGTGTCTACTTCTTAAAAAACTAAAGAACTTAAGCATCTTCATCGCTTTGAGTTGACTTTTTTTAATGTTTGATGATCCCTCTTTTGTGATGTATACTGAACTAAGGTTACCAATGTGCACCATCTTTGAGATCCATAAAAAAATAAAATAGTGTTTTTTGGAAACATTTTTTATCAGTCATTAAGCAAATGATCATTATTTCTTTTGTCAGTTTAAAATCTGCAGAAATTTTCCATATTCTTATTTTAATTAGAAATGTTTGACAATTAAAAATCCACACCAAAGGATGCTGACAAGGCCAGTCTTTGTCAACACTTTATAGATTTGTCCTTCTAGAACCAAATGGTGTGTACTTCTTAAAGAGAATATTATGGAACAATAAAATTGCAACATTATTTATAGTGTTCTTCCATAGAAAAATTACTAAGCTTACTTTTGTAAAGAATATATTTTCTATGTATAAATGGGAAGAACCAAATCTACTGATAATCAATATATGTTATCCTATTTATAGTCATCTGTGAGAGAGCAGGAAGATATTAAGCAATTGGTGTTACTTTAAAGACAATGGTCTTTCGTTATTCACAGCTTTTCAAATAACCTAATGGGCTTATCCTAATTTTCTGTGCGGCCATAACGAAAGACTTGAGACTGGGTAATTTATAAATAATAGAAATTTAATTCTCACAGTTTTGGAAGCTGGGAAGTCCAAGATCAAGGAACTGGCAGGTTCAGTGTTTGGTGAGGGCTTTTACCCTGCTTCCAAGATGACACCTTGTTGCTGCGCTGTGTCCTCAAATGGAAGAAAGGACGAAGAGGGGCCTAACTCATTTTCTCCAGCCCTTTTATAAGTGACTAGTCTTGTCCATGATGGCAGATCCTTCATGGCCTGATCACATCCTAAATGCCTCACCTCTTAATAGAGTTGCATTGAAGATTAAGTTTCAACATAAATTTTGGAGGAGACACAGACATTCAAACCATAGCAGGGCTACTTCCCTTTCTCTAATAGGACAGTGCCAAATAGCCTCTGAAGTTATGGAGCCTACAGATGGCCATCTTATTATGCCTATTCCTTGTGTGTTTCTTTTTTTGGCAATAATAAAAGACTTAATGATGAGCTATTTGTGCATACCTATAAATACATTTCGTTTGTTCACTACCAGCCAGTCTCCTAAGAACCAGTGTATAAAATGGTTCATGACCCACTAGCACTCAAATATTTAATGAATAAATTAATGCATTATTCTTAGTAGACAAAATACATTTGTAATCTCTCAATTAAACAAACAAACCCTTTTCCTGTGGCTTGAATGTGTCCCTCAAAAGTTGGTTGTGTTGAAAACTTAATCCCCAATGCAACTTTGTTGGGAGCTGAGGCCTACCCTCCTCCCAACAGCTGGTCTTCACCCTCAAGAATGGATTAATGTCATTACTGGGAATGGGTTATTCAATTGGAGAGTGGGTTATTATAAAGCTAATTCAGCCCCTGGTGCCTCTCTTTGTCTACTCTGTTTGCTTCTGCTTTCTGGCCTTCCACCATGGGGTGATGCATACCAGATGCCAGTGCCATACTCTGGGACTTTTCAGTCTCCAAGACCGTGAGCTACATAAACTTCCTTATGAATTACCCAGTCTGCAGTATTCTCTTATAGCAACAGAAAATGGACTAAGAGAAGTTTGATGTGTGCAACTTTAAATGAATTTTTGTGTATTTTTACAGTTTAAAGGCAGTCCTCTGTAAGATTCCAGCAATCAGCCCTCATGGAAGCCTCAAGCCTATTTTCCTTCCTAGTACTCACAAGGTGATTTTTAATAATCAGGATAAAATCCAAAGTGAATAATTTATTTCTTGCTAAAAAAACTTTTTAAAAGTTATTAGGATTCCACACATCATTCTCAAAGGGTAAATCAAATATTAGCCCCTCAGTAAGTTGAATAAAGAATTGATAATGAACACCACATTGATGCTAGATGCTACTTGATTTAATAGTTTCAATACAATCTCCCTCTTCCTGTTGAAATTCCTTAGCTATTTACAGTGCAGAGAGAAAAAAATAATAATTCTATTCTAAGAGTAGTAGTGAACAGTTTTCAGGTGTTTATCACTGATACAAATTAAGAACTGTGTCTATATTTTGTATAATTGCATCATACAGCTGTATTAAATCTTATAGTATCAAATATTAGATCTGATTTAATAGTATTAATAAATTTAAACCCATTTTAATCAATTTTCAAAAAAATACCGTGTTCAGTTACAGAAAATGGTGCTTAGTTGCAGACTGTATCGTACCTTTTAACACCTGATGTGTACATCCCATGTAACGGAAAGGGCGACAATAAAATGGGGATTCAAAGGAAATAATATGGCAGAATAAGATGTGTAAGCACGATCTTATTTTCTTTTCTCGTACAGAATACTTACAGTTATTGAGCCTTCCAGAAATTGGAAGTTACCTGAAGCCACTCAAGTTTCCTTAAAAAACAAAACAAAACTGTCTATAGTTAACTTGATATGCCACTTTTCAAATGTTTCTAATATTTATTTTATTTTATTTTAAAGTATGTTTTTCATCTGCATCTACCAACATTTATTCTTGGGCTTTTAATTTTACCTTTTTCTCGCTGGCCTGGTGGCTCACGCCTTAATCCCAGCACTTTGGGAGGCCGAGGCGGATGGATCACGAGGTCAGCAGATTAAGACCACCCTGGCTAACACGGTGAAACGCCGTCTCTACTAAAAATACAAAAAATTAGCCGGGCGTGGTGGTGGACGCCTGTAGTCCCAGCTACTCAGGAGGCTGAGGCAGGAGAATGGCGTGAACCCGGGAGGGGGAGCTTGCAGTGAGCCGAGATGACGCCACTGCACTCTAGCCCGGGCGACAGAGCCAAACTCCGTCTCAAAATTAAAATAAAATGAAATAAAATAAAATAAAATAATTTTACCTTTTTCCAAACTAATGTAATTGCTTACAGCTCATATTTGAGCTTCTAAATGCAATGCTATTGGACGTATTTGCCACTTCATATTTAAGGCCTCTTTTACTGTGTACGGTATTTATTACCGTGGAGCCATGAGACCAAACTGCAAGGCTCTAATCTCAGTTCAGCTATATGTTTAGAATCACTGTGTGCTGTTCATACATGGGATTTGCCCCCTGAGCATATTTTATTTAAATCTGGTTGCAAGACATTTTTTTTTTCTTTCTTCATACATCATCGATAACATCTAATGCTTTGTTCAATAGCACCTGGAATTTTCATCCAAGATGACAGCTTAGGGAAATTGAATTTTCCCAGAGAGGTATCTCCAACTAGAATATAGTTTTAATTTTGCCAAGCTGAAATAAATCATACCAGATTGTTTTATTCTATGCAAGACATCTGGGAGACTTTTGCTGCAGTCTACAGAATCTCATGCCATTGTGAAATGTTTGCCTTATGGACAACACAAGGTCTGGGGCATAATACTGCGTGTTTGCTCATTTCCAGTGACTCTATTTAATTAAGTCTAGAATACAAGCATAGAGACTCTGCTTTGTGAATCTGATGCTCTTGTATATGACTTAAGTTTATGTCAGGATTTAGGGAAAACATTCTCATTTTGGTAGCATTCCCAACATTTTGAGATAGTTTGACTTCTGTTCAGACCTAGCATGAGATTTTTGATATATGTGCAAATTGTGTGACACTGTTGGATAAAAAATTCTTAGGTACAAATAAAGTTGACAGGTAGGACTTCTGTCCATCCACATCCATGCCCCACATTCCCTGATCTTTTTAATAATAACGACAAAAACATGATCAGTGTGCACTCAGAACAGACATTTAGATCAAACTAACCTTTGGGTCTGGCATCCTAATGAATGTATTAGTCAAATGTCACAAACTGCACAAAAGCTTTTGTATTAGAAAAACAAAAAAAAAACAAGCTTAGAATGGATGAGCAGATGCATATTCTTCTGAGCTTCTTTGACTCACAAGCTTTGCTTTGAGAGTCACCTTTCCCCCCACTGCCCTCTCTGACTCACTCTTGGAGTTTCTGGTACATAATTAAGACATATGGACAAATTCCCAAATTCTAGGGCTAAGAATACCAGCAAAGGTGAATTTACTATGAAAATAAATGAAGTTTAAGTTCATGAAGCTTCACCTATACCCATCCCTTCCAAGACTTGATTTTCTTCTAGGAAGTTGTGGTATGAAGCAGCAGCCACAGCCACACACTAGAGTGTGTGGGCCACAGAAGTCCTGATTTGAACCCTGGACTGGGTGGAGTCTTGGAAGCCCACACTACCTTCATGTCCCTCAGAACCTCAGAGGTAACATTCCTCTGGTGGACTTCATCAAGTGTTCATCCCCTAACTTTGACTCCAAGGAGAATGATCTAAATCAGATGTTGCTCTGTTCCCTGGTCTAGACCATCGCAACAAAACTGCTTGGCCACTTGGCCGCTGTTTTTCTCAAGAAACAAGTAACTTCACTGAGCAAAAATGTACCAGTGTGGCATTTGCAATGATCAGTTGAAGCTGAAAATAACTTTATCTACCACTAATAATAAAAATAAAATTTAATCAACCAAATCATAGGCCACACTGAATCATCTTTCTACTATCTTTATAAAAAATATTGTAAAAATTGCTGTCATATTAAGAAGCAATCAAAGCATATGAAGCCAAAAATAAGGAAAAACAGTATTATAGATGACTCACATTCAGTTAACCATAAAAATGAAATAATATGTTTTTCTAATTATAATTTTTATTTCTGGAATTTGTCACTTTTAAATAATCTGTGATTATTTTTCTTCTAAGTATATATCTTTTTAACAAAGTTAACAAAAAACAAAATATATGGGCACTAAGAGGCACTCTAGAGAAAGACTGAAATTTTTTTTGAGTATTTGAATTACCCATAATTACAAATTTTAGCTTCTCACTATTCACAATACATTTTATGTCCCTTTGTTTTGCTTAGTTAGATAGGATGGAAATCTTGGCTTTCTGTCATTTCCTGTGCAGCCCTCTGCAAATTCTTTTCCCAACCTATTTCTTTATCTGTAAAATGGAGATTATAATACCTATTTCATCATATTACTATGTTAAACAAAATGTTTTTGAAGTACTTAGTACGATGACTGAATACAAACAAATAATAAATAGTAGGAAAGTCTATGTTGATTATACTATGTAAAATAAGTATAAAAAAATCATGAGACAGCAGTGTAATATTCTAAGACATTGGAAGAGTTTAAAAGAACAGTTTTGGAAAACTGACTTCATACTTGTATGTACTAAAATTGAGATGCCCATGGGACATCTTAGTTGAGATAGCTGTTAGATATTTGGATTGCAGGTCTGGAACTTAGCAGAGAATTACAGTTATAAATTTTTAATTATTAATGTATCAGAAGTAGTTGTAACCATGAGTAAGGATGATATTATATGGGACAGTGTTTAAGGCAACCATAAGATAGATTTGAGGATAAATCCCAGTAATGATATTTGGTGCTTAGTTTTTTTAGAATTATCAAGGAATATAGAAATTGCATATTAAAATGCCCTGCATAATTTCTAGCACATAGTAGCTATTCTGTACACTTTATTGTTTATTTTGATTAATTTAAGCAATTCAGTATAAAAAAGAAAAAAAACCCAATCTTTTTAGTCTATCAAAATTTAAAGGAAGACTTCTAAACATTAACATAGTAATTTTGTATATCCCATATAAATCTATATAAGAAAATAAATCCTATAAACTAAGATACTTTTAAAATATAAGAATATGAGTACTTTTTTTTTAGTGAATGTGATCTTTATGGAATTTTTTTATTATTAGAATGGAAGTGACCCTGGAAGCTTTCTTATTGTATTTATTTAAAACATTTCAGTTGTACAATTTAATTCAGTTGTCTAATAATTAAAATAAATTGTGTAAATATGTAAATTGAATGAACTGTTTTCTACTGTTATGTACATATTTGAATTCAATTTATATGATCTGCTTGATCATTTTTAATAATTTAATATGTATTTAAATATAAATATTTCATAATATTTTTTTTAAGTTTTTAAACTTTTTATTTGCATATTAAAAAAATTGTGCATTCCAATAATTAAAATCATTTGAACAAAAAAAAAATGGCACTCTGATTAAACTGCATTACAGCCTGCAGGACACCTTGGGCCAGCTTGGTTTTACTCTAGATTTCACTGTTGTCCCACCCCACTTCTTCCACCCCACTTCTTCCTTCACCAACATGCAAGTTCTTTCCTTCCCTGCCAGCCAGACAGACAGATGGGAAAGGCAGGCGCGGCCTTCGTTGTCAGTAGTTCTTTGATGTGAAAGGGGCAGCACAGTCATTTAAACTTGATCCAACCTCTTTGCATCTTACAAAGTTAAACAGCTAAAAGAAGTAAAATAAGAAGGCAATGCTTGTGGAATGTACAGTGCATATTGGCGGCGCACGCCTCATTACGATTCGCCTGCTTGCTTCTCCTGTTCAATCGTTTCTTTGGAAGGCAGTGGATTTTTCTCTTGCGTCTCTGTCTTCTTCAGTTTCGGCTTATCGAATTTCTCGATCTCAGCCATATCGGGTTTGTCAGACATGGTTGCGGAGGAAAAGCGGAGCGAGGCGCGCGAGTACGAGCGAAGTCTGGTCTGCGCAGTGGCCACCACCGAGTTGTCGCCATAATATTTTTAATAATGTTTGCATTTCTTCTATATTGCTAACTTCTTTGAGAAATATTATTATGATCTTTGTCTAAGAAGCCTATTATCTAGATTGAGAATCTAAACAAATACAAAGGTAAGCAATTAGTATCATCTAATAAATGTCTCAGTTAATTCTATCACACACTTAGATAAGTTTATCAAACGTGTAAGAACATAATTTAATTAAGCAGAGCATGTTTCAGTAAACAAATGTGAGTGAGCTTTTTATAAAGTTTCAGATTCAACTACAGGTTATGAAACAAGTGAAAACTAAATATGGGATAGGGCATGGAACTGTGCCTTCACCATGTGTTACATCTATAGAGCATATGCCAACTGAACTTGCTACAGCTTCATTGTTGCATCGTACCCATCAAGACCCAACAGTGGAACTACAAAGACAGGTGACTTGTTTCTAGAAAGCAGGTCCTAAGCCCTGCTTTAAGTGTGTTTATCTGGAGGGAGGAGCAAGAAGAGAAAGCCCACATCTACAGATCAAATTACCCTAAAAGAGAGACTATTGGAAAGGCTGAGCTTTCATATTTCATCCTTTTGCCCAATCTTACCAAGTAGTTAAGGCACTTCTGTTGTTGAAGTAAAGGTGCAGAAGATAGAACAAAGTCTAAAAATTCTTCTCCCATTCTTCTAAAAGGGTAGAAGTTCATACTTTAAAATTTAAGATGGGGACACTAGAAGAGAAAGAAAATGGTTCCCCCAAAGGGAAGTATAAAGGATTGATACATGAATTGTATATTTATTCTCTCATCTTTTAGTCATTAGTCAATATTCTGGTCTCTAAGTTAGTAGATGGGATTGAAGTTATTGTAATAAATTAATATAATAATGTGACTGTGTAATTATATAAATATAATCAAGTAAATATAATACAATATATGTTATATAATCCATATAACATAGCATTTATTTTATAGCATTCTTTTGATATCTGCTGCTTTAGTAACTTGCAATTTATTGTTTTATTACATCTGCTATTAAAATGAACATCAACTATTTATTTTCATAAATAAGAGAATCCTTTATTTTAGTAGAGAGAAAAATTTTAAATAGTTCTACCAATATCTAATATTAAATGTGTGTGGGTGGAGAAGAATGAGGAGAAAGGTTGTATCTTAATTCAGAATTAGAAAGGCGACAAAATAACCATTTTCTATTACAAAAGACGTTAACTCTATGACATTAATTTCACCATGGGAAATCTGTAATCTTCATTTTAGAGAAATTAATTGGTAGCAGTACTATTTATGAAGTGCTGTGTGCTCAAATCCTTGAAGAACTTTCCTACATTATGATTAGCCTAAGATGTCTAGCCTGGAGTGTTTCACATTTTTCTAGCTTTGTGATTACATCCTCCCACTAGGTATCTAATGAACTGAAGTAGACCGCCCTGCATTTCAGCAAATTCAGGAGTAAGGTTTTATGAGTATTAAAAAATAATTGAAAATGTCAATATTCAAAATGTTTCATAGTTCATATATTTTATGTCCTCACTACAGTGCCTATGCATATAGCTTAAAGCATATCAACAGAGGGAAAACACTATATTGCAGCAAGAAGCACCCTCATCCATGAAAGCTGTAAAGCTCCTTACTCTTTTTTTTTTTAATAGTTATAACCTTGTATGCAAGTCACTGTGAATTTTGCTGGCAATTGTGGCATTTCTCATCAGAGAGTAAATTCTTCTTCAGGCTGGTAAAATGACATCTGAATAAGAAGGCAGAAAAAAATTTTCAACCTCTTAAAACAACTTCTAAAAATTGCAAGTAGACAGTATCATGTATTGCATAATAGTTACATAAAGCAGATTACCTAAGATTCCCTACAGCTCTAAAACACCATGCCCTGACATGTCCTGATTGAGATTTTTGAGATTTTTACCTGTATTCTAGAGATACTGAGTCAGCAGCTAGAGTAAGTTGTCACTAAATGATGCTTTTCCTGCACTTTGGCAGATAAGATCAGTATCTGAAAACCTCAGCCAATGTAGAAGCTTGAGAATGGCATGTCTTCTGAAAAACAAAGTTTATTAAAATATTAGTTTGTGACTTAGATAACTCATTCTTAAGAAAGCAGGAATGTGGCAGCAAGGGTAGAAACAAACATAGAAGACAATGCTTAATAAAGAAGAAAATATTTGGCCAGGCACAGTGGCTCACGCCTGTCATCCCAGCACTTTGGGAGGCCGAGGCGGGTAGATCACGAGGTGAGGAGATCGAGACCCTCCTGGCTAACACAATGAAACCCCGTCTCTACTAAAAATACAAAAAATTAGCCGGGCGTGGTGGCAGATGCCTGTAGTCCCAGCTACTCGGGAGGCTGAGGCAGGAGAATGGCTTGAACCCTGGAGGCAGAGCTTGCAGTGAGCCGAGATCGCTCCACTGTATTCCAGCCTGGGCGACAGACCGAGACTCTGTCTCAAAAAAAAAAAAAAAAAAAAAGAAGAAGAAGAAAATATTTTGCATGTTTTCCCTGACATAGTCTGGGTCAGGAAACATTTTCTATTAGAACTGTTTATTAGGGCAGTTTTCTTCTTTACCTGTGCTTCTCTCTATTCTGTAGACTTTCAAAAGCTAGGTTGAATCTTTTCACATTATAAATCAAGGTGAAGCTGTATTATTCCTCTTCTGAGTGTTGTCTTGGTACTCTGGAAGTGTGTCTGACTCTCATTCATTATTTCTAACAATAAGCCAAACTCCAAAGTAAAAAACTGTGGTTTCTCTTCTCAGTTAATTCTTATAAGTTGCCCAATGAATGAGAATTTGGGCATGACTCACAAATAGGAACTTATTGTGTTTAATCTACATTCTGCTGTCTGTCTTTTCATATTTCCCTTTTCCTGCATATTGACGTATTTACTGATTTCTCTGTTTTTTTTTTCCCATTAAAAAACACAGCTTGGCATTAGTTTATGCTCAGTAAATGTTAATTACTCCACCTCATTAGCCTTGACTGGACTAATTTGTTAGTCAACATAGCTTATTCTCACTAGTTTCTTATTCAAAACATCTTTAAACAAAGCAAAATTATTTTGAAAGCAAAAACATATATTTTCTTCTGTCTTTTAAAATGACAATTGTTTATTACATTAATAATCTCATTAAAATTCTTGTTATTTTTTCTTTGTCAAGAACAAGTTAGACAGAAAGTGGTTTTTGTATGCTCAAATTTTAATTTCTTGATTGGGTGAGTTCTATGGCTATCTGTTGCTGTTGAAATTTGATAGAACTTCTCAGGGAGAGAGTAAATAGGAAAGTAGTGGGAATGTAGATGCAAAAATGGGTACAGAAATGATTAGTCCAGGGATGAAGCAACATCTGGATTATACAGGAAACTGGTCTAATTTAGTCAGCACTGGAGTCAGAAAGGGAAGGAGGAGGAAATTTGGGAATGTTCAATAGGGCATGGGTTTGGATGTGCAGAAAAGAGACTGTAGTAATTGACCTGACATGTCTGATCATTGAAGAGAACCATCAGAAAATGAAGCAGGAAATAGTAAGAAATGGGCTTAATGTTAGGAAAAATAGCTCCTTCAGGAAAGAGATGTATAAGAAGGATGCAGTTCACTGGTAAGGTATAGGCAGGGATTCTCAGGGAACTAATGCAAAGGGAGTGGGTCATTCAAAGAACCCTCATGGTTAGAGTAACCGTATTCTGGTTTGTCCAAGACAATGCCAGTTCACAAAGTCATTCTTGCATTATTAATGGTTCCCTTTCTCCCAAAAATTTACAGTTTTTATCATGTTTGTAGTCAATACTCAAAAAACATGTGTGAGGAGGCTTTTGCTTGTTAGAACTATGAAATTGCTTTTAGGTTGGCAGAGCACATGAAAGCCATTTCTAGACTTAGTTTGAAGGGGATGACATCTCTTGAAAAGAGTCAGCACAGGTTAATAAATAACCCTTAAGAGCTGCACTGGATGGTTTAAGGCCCAACTTTTCACCACGGATTATTTGCATGACCTTGGGTAAGTTACAAGTTACATAACCTCTCATTTCTTCAGTTTTCTCATCTGCAGTGCAAAGGTAATAATAGTATCTACTTCATGTAATGTGGTAAGGCTTAAATGAGTCAGTGAAAAAAAAAAGTGTGTGTAACATTGTGGCTATTTACTGCTAAACTGGTTCCATTCTGCATCCAGTAAATGTAATTCCTACGGATTTTCAGGTGGCTCTTTGATCTGCTGCATTAAAATGTGGTTACAGGAGAAACTGGTAATAAACTAAGAGTTAGGCCTCAAATAGTTTAAAGCACTTTTCAAATGCAAAATATTCTTAACCTGCATTAATTTATGAGTTGGGTATCATTTTGCTCTTAATGCTTTAGAAAATGATTTAAAATTTTTAAGATTTGACTCATTCTTCAGATTAATTTTTTTCCTATCTCAACATCCAAGTATTTTCTAGAGGATTATATTTTTGGTGTATTGTGGAACTTTTCTGATTTTACAACACACAACATAAACAGAATCATTCTCTCATACCTATTCGTCCCTTCCTTCAACTTTTGCTGGATTTTCCGTATGCCTTGTTATTGTATATCTGGTCAAGCCATTTGGTACAAAACATTTTTTAAAAACAAATCTTTTTTATTTCTTGGTCATGTTAATCTATTCCAAGAGAGTGCTAGTTATATTCCCTCCTTGGGCATAAAATCTATGTGTTGTTGTCAGTTTCTTTGTTCTGTAATTATTACTGCACTCCTTTAAGAAAATTTAACTATCTGATGAGCCTAATAACATTACTTAGTCACTAGAAGCTTAAAGGTAACAATATAAAATGTATATTTTTTATATTTTCAGTACTCTTGAGACTCAGCCAATCTTTCAAGATTTTGTGTATTTGTCAAGCACTCTATGACCTCGTATATTATTACACACTATACATTCTCCAATATATTATTATAAATTGTACCACCATTCAAATCTCCTTCCTCTGTTTGTGTGTGTGTGTGTATGTATATATATATATCTTCCAGTGTGTGTGTGTGTTGTGTATATATAGATAGATAGATAGAGAATATATACATAGATATAGATTGAGAATATATATATATATGTATAGAGAGAGAGAGAAAGAGAGGAAGACAGATATGTAGCAACTGGGTATTACTAAACTTCAGAGTTCTTAAATTATACTTGCTTTACTGTGCATGTTAAAAAATAATATCTAAGCCTAAGGCATTGATTCACATTTTTACAGCAATTACTGGCAGTAGCAAATACTATTACCACTAAAGAATGAAGACATTCCTCATAAAGACTACTTTCCCCTCCCTCATTCCACTCCAGCCACATTGGCCTTCTTATTGTTCCTTGAACACACAGAGCATGCTTCTTCCTTAGGGTATTTTGCCTTAGCTCATTTCTTAGACTAGAACATTCTTCCCCCAATTAATTTTACATATGGTTACTAACCCCCTTCCTTCAAAAATTTGCTCAAATGTTACCTTCCTCAACTTCACTACTCTACACTATTTAAAGTTGCAACCTGTCCCCCACACCACTTGTTTCATTCCTATTATCCTGCTTTTTTTTTCTCTGCATAGCATTTTCATACCTTCTAATACATGATACTATCTAATTATTTATATGCCTATGGTTAATATCTGTCCACCCCAGCCAATATGTAAGTGACAGAAGACAGAGGTTTGCATTGCTCAACAACATATTTGTAGTTGCTAGACAAGGGGTTAGCAAAGAGCCAGACAGTAAGTATTTTAGGATTTATAAGCCATATAGTCTCTGTCTCAATTAAACTTTGGCATTGTGGCCTGAAAGCTGGTATAGACAATATGTAAATGAATTGGTGTGGAGCTATTTCAATAAAACATTATTTATGAAAACTAACTATAAGCTGGATTTGACTTGTGGACTTTTGAGACAATATCTGGCACATAGAAGCTCTTAAAGAATATTTGTTAGGCCGGGTGTGGTGGCTCACTCCTGTAACCCCAACACTCTGGGGGGCCGAGGCAGGCAGATCATGAGGTCAGGAGATCGAGACCATCGTGGCCAACAAGGTGAAACCCCGTCTCTACTAAAAATACAAAAAATTAGCCTGGCGTGGTGACACGCGCCTGTAATCCCAGCTACTAGGGCGGCTAAGACAGAAAAATCGCTAGAACCTGGGAGGCAGAGGTTGCAGTGAACCTAGATGGTGCCACTGTACTCCAGCCTGGTGACAGAGTGAGACGCCATCTAAAAAAAAAAAAAAAAAAAAAGAATATTTGTTGAGTGAATGAAATAGATTTATTGAAACCTGGCATATTTAGGATGTGAGCATAAATTACTAATAAATTTGCCCTTTCTCCCAATCCAAAATTGACAATCATTTTTTTCATTTAAAATATTGACACTGGCCTTACTGCCCATCATAATCAAAAGAGTTCCCTGTCCTGTTAAAACTATAGTGCCTGCTTGCATATGACAGAGGAACTGTGGTAGAGTAGTTATCAGAATCAGAACTAGGAGTGAAAGGCTGTCCTAGGCCAGAAGGCAACAAAACCTTGAATTCAGGATTCATATTAAATATATTTGTTAGTTAGTGCTTTTTTTTAAATTTAATTCCTGAACAACAAAAGTATATTTTCAGTATGTGAACATATCATGATTTATACAGCCTATAATGTTTTTCTTATTTCAACTGTGAAAAAAAAAAAAACCAGATTTTCTTATTTCTTGAGTTAATTGTAAACTTGAAGTGATGGCAATGGACTTGTAACTTATTTTCTCATTCTGCAGTACATTTCCAAGCCACTATACAAATGCTGAGTCATTAGTGTCATAGTGCTGTGTCTATTTATAGATTTTTTTTATGAGTGTTATTAACCATAAATGCTCAATATGAAAAAAATGAAGGAAAGTAGCTTTGTCTAATCACAGTAGAACACTGGATTTATTCTATAACAAACTGAAGGGTGACTTAATCACCTCAAATTAAAACTTGTTCTTTATCTCACATATAAATTGAAATTCATTGCATTCTTATGTTTCCAATAAATGGCAGATTTCTCCATTGCCCAGTAACTTTAAGGTGATTGTTTGCTCACTATAAATAGAGATATGTGTGTTTATGTATAGAAATCCTTCAGCGTGAGAGTTAAATTACTCCATCTTAAAGAAAGAAATGCATTAATGTACAACCATGGAAGGTGTGATAAGTTTAGGTATATCATCCATCCTCACAGAATCTGTTTGCAGTTATTGGAATAAAATTATTTTCTTTATAGAGATCTATTTAATATTGTTATAGACACCTGCCCATCATAATGATTAAATTTTTATTGATAAAAACAATTATAAATATGTATAGGTACATGTGATATTTTGATACATGCAGATAATGTTTAATGATCAAATCAAGGCATTTTGGATATTCATTGCCTCAAACATTTATTATTACTTTGTGTTGAGAATATTCTAAATCTTTTCTTCTACTTATTTTGAAATATACAATAAATTACTGATAACTGTAGTCACTCTTCTGTGCTATTGAACACCAGAATTTATTCCTTCTAACTAACTGTATTTTTGTACCCATTAACCAACCCGTCTTCATCTCTCCTGCCATTCTTCCCAGCCTCTTGATAATCATCATTCTCCTGCCTCAGCCTCCCGAGTAGCTGGGATTACAGGCACGCCAGCACACCCAGCTAATTTTTGTATTTTTAGTAGAGATGGGATTTCACCATGTTGGCCAGGATGGTCTTGATCTCTTGACCTGGTGATACACCTGCCTTGGCCTCCCAAAGTGCTGGGATTACAGGTGTGAGCCACTGCACCCAGCCTATTTTGTGAAATATTATGTTTATTATGTGTTAGTCTTAATTTGATTTAATTCTTTACAATGGGGTGTCTTCGTTCCCTCTGAAACTGTTCCCCCATTTGTAGCATACTTTTACATTCAAGTAAATTATTTACCAATATGTTCTTAGCTGATATTACAAAGGCTTTATTCATTCATTCGTTTAATTATTAATGTATTAACCAACACTTACTGAATGTTTATCTTATGTCACAACTTGGTGATCAAAGGAGGATTCTTACTTAAACCATTATACTTTTCTGGGACATATATATTAGTAAAAAAATGATTTCCATTCCATTTAAAGAACACTGGGACAGATGTATGCATGGGCTGTGTGTGCATGCTGTCAGTGGAGCACCCCATCTGGCCTGCGGCAGTGTCCCCTTGGTTCTGATCAGGAGACCTTGAGCTTTGCCACTTAGCATCTCAGAAGTCTCCCTCAGGATCTTGACCTTGCTTCTTACTACATGTTCTTTCTGAAGATTTCCTCTATGAAGTCCAGAACTTTTATGATTTCATTTCCATTTCTCACGTATCAGTTTTTTTTATTGAATTCTCTCCATCTTTTACATTAAAATCTTTCTTTAGTTCATCATCTATCTAATAACAGATACTTACTTCACCAGACTCATCTTTGTTATCAATATTTCCTTTAACTTTCTTAGGTTGTCAGATTTTAAACGTCGACTTAGGTATACTTTAAAAAACAAGAGAAAAAAAGGAAAAAGTCGCAAATAATCCAGAAAACAATATAAAAATAATGTTATAATTCAAATCAAATACGCACTGTGAGCATTCAGTGTTTCCATGGATCTTCTAATAATTTTTTGTTGTTGCTTTTAGATTTTTTGTTTTGATTTGATTGCTGTTTTACTTTTTGCTATAGATATGCAGTTTTTATTTTGATGATGTTTTTCTTTTTCTCTTGTTCTTTTTACTCAAAGACCTCCAGTGATAAATGATATATGTAAGCATACATATCCTAACATATATATTTGTTTTTCAAACTTAGTATGTGGTAGTCATCATAATTAGATAAGACTGATGTTTCTCATTTTGATTATCAGGAAGGTTTGTTTGAAGCAAATTATTGTGGATTTTTTTATGTTTGCTGCATTTGTACTTCTTACACAATCACTTTTAATTAACAATGCATAGTTGTATATTTGCTAAATGTAAACACTATGTAAGGGGGTAGGAATTTATTGTTCAGAAGATGAGTGCATAGTAGCAATGAAGCACATATATCATATTTGATTTGTACCCTGGTTTTGTGGATCACAACTATGAGACAGTGGAAAAACCATCAATTCCATGTAAAATTGGTGCCCAAATGTTAAGTGATATTTATAGAAATTATAACTGGAAGCTAAGGGCAGAAAATGGCTCTAAGATATAAGTGGCAATAGCAGAAATATAGTATTGAAAGATATAAAAGGGTAGTATAAATATCTTATAAGTAAATTTCTTTCTTTCCCTAGGAAAAGGACATAGTGAATGAAGTCTTTTTTTTCTCCAAGTCTGACAGTGCCTCAAACATTCTAAAATAATCTTTTCTCCCCTATTAGTCATCACTTAAGTGTGAGTTTATTTGAAGTGATTTTGATTTACTGATAACTCATTTTAGTTACTCAGAATTAACTCCCTGCGGAAGACCTAATAACAATCAGTTTTATGGTCATGTGCATTACCTTTCCCCATGATATGGTTTGGCTTTGTATCCACACCCAAATCTCACTTTCAAGTGTAATAATCCCCACGTATCAAGGACAGGACCAGGTGGAGATAATTGAATCTTGGAGGTGGTTTCCCCCATGCTGTTCTCGTGTTAGTGAGTTCTCACGAGATCTGATGGTTTTATTTATTTTATATATATGTTAGGATATGTATACTTACATATATCATTTATCACCTTTGCTCAACACTCATTTTCTCTCCTGCCACCCTGTGGAGAGGTGCCTTCTGCCATGTTTGTAAGTTTTCTGGGGCTTCGCCTCCCATGCAGAACTGTGAGTCAATTAAGCCTCATTTCTTTATAAATTACCCAGTCTCAGGTATTTTTTTATAGCAGCGTGAGAACAGACTAATACAGTAAATTGGTACTGCATTAAGTGGGGTACTGCTGTAAAGATACCTGAAAATGTGGAATTAACTTTGGAACTGGGTAACAGGCAGAGGTAGGAACTGTTTGGAGGGCTCAGAAGACAAGGAAATGGGGGAAAGTTTGGAACTTCCTAGAGACTTGTTGAATGGCTGTGACCAAAATGCTGATAGTGATATGGATAACGAAGTCTGGGCCGAGGTGGTCTCAGATGGAGATGAGGAACTTGTTGGGAAGTGAAGTAAAGATCACTCTTGCTGTACAAAGGTACTGGTGGCATTTTGCCCCTGCCCTAGAGATCTGTGGAACTTTTAACTTGAGAGAGATGACTTAGGGTATCTGGTGGCAGAAATTTCTAAGCAGTAAAGCTTTCAAGAGAAAGGAGAGCATAAATGTTGGGAAAATTTGCAGGCTGAAGATGCAATAGAAAAGAAAAACCCGGCCAGGTGTGGTGACTCATGCCTGCAATCCCAGCACTTTGGGAGGCTGAGGTGGGTGGATCATGAGGTCAGGAGATCAAGACCATCCTGGCTAACACGGTGAAACTCCGTCTCTACTAAAAATACAAAAAATTAGCCAGATGTGGTGGCAGGCGCCTGTAGTCCCAGCTACTTGGGAGGCTGAGGCAGGAGGATGGTGTGAACCCAGGAGGCAGAGCTTGCAGTGAGCCGTGATCGTGCCACTGCACTCCAGCCTGGGCAACAGTGCAAAACTCCATCTCATAAAAAAAAAAAAAAAAAAAAAGAAAACCCATTTTCTGAGGAGAAATTCAAGCCCTATGCAGAAATTTGCATAAGGAGGTGAATGTTAATCACCAAGACAGTGGGGAAAATGTCCCCAGGGCATGTCAGAGACCTTCACAATAGCCCCTCCCATCCAAGGCCTGGAGGCCTAGGAAGGAAAAATGGTTTCATGGGCTGGGCACAGGGACACCCTGCTCTGTGCAGCCTTGGGACATGGTGCCCTGCATCCCAGCTGCCTCAGCTCTAGCCGTGGCTAAAAGGGGCCAAGGTACTCCTCAGACCATTGCTTCAGAGGGTTCAAGCCCCAAACCTTGGTGACCTTCACATAGTGTTGGGCCTGTGGGTGTACAGGAGTCAAGAATTGAGGTTTGGGAACCTCTGCCTAGATTTCAGAGGATGTATGGAAACACCTGGATGTCTAGGCAGAGTCTGCTTCAGGGGTGGAGCCCTCATGGCTCACTAGGCGATGGCCCAGTGGGGACTCTATATGGGGCTTCAACTCCACATTTCCCTTCCAAATGGGAAGATGGCCACCATATTCTGGATCCCAGAATCATAGATCCACCAACAGCTTGCACCGTGCACCTGGAAAAGCTGCAAACACTCAACCCCAGCTGTGAAACCAGCTGGGAGCTGGCCTTTATCCTGCAAATCTACAGGGGCGGAGCTGCCCAAGGCCATGGGAGCCCACTTCCTGCACCAGCGTGCCCTGAATGTGAGACATAGAGTCAAAAGAGATCATTTTGGAACTTTAAGGTTTAATGACTGCCCTATTAGATTTTGGACTTGCATGGGGCCTATAGCCCCTTTGTTTTGGCCAATTTCTCTCATTTGGAATGGACGCATTTACCCAATTCCTGTACCCCCACTGTATCTTGGAAGTAACTAATATGCCTTTGATTTTACAGGCTTATAGGTGGAAAGGACTTGCCTTATCTCAAATGAGACTTTGGACTTGGACTTTTGGGTTAATGCTGGAATGAGTTAAGACTTTGGGGGACTGTTAGAAGGGCACAATTGTGTTTTTAAATGTGAGGACATGATATTTGGTAGGGGCTGGGACAGAATGATATGGTTTGGCTTTGTATCCCCACCCAAATCTCACCTTGAATTGTCATATTCCCCACATTTCAAGGGTAGAACCAGGTGGAGATAATTGAATCATGGACGCAGTTTCCCCCTGTGCTCTTCTCAGGTTGGTGAGTTCTCATGAGATGTGATGGTTTTAAAAGGGGCTTCCCCCTTCACTCCACATTCATTCTTTCTTCTACTGCCCTGTGAAGAGGTGCCTTCCACCACGATTGTTAAGTTTTCTGGGGCCTCCCTAGGCATGTGAAACTGTGAGTAAATTAAATCTTTTTTCTTTATAAATTACCCAGTCTCGTATTTCTTCATAACATCATGAGAACAGACTAATACACCCCAGTCCGATGAATAATTTCAGAAAACATTTCAGAGAAGCAAACCAAAATAACTACAAAGCCAAAACACAAAAGAACTCTACAGGCACATATTTTAACCCTTGAGAATCTGCCTTAATTGTGAACACAGAATCAAAATTCAAGGTTCTTACTAGGGATGATAACCTTTCCTACACTTTGCCAATCATTGTATTAATTCTGTGACAGAGGCTGCCTGAAGTACATGGGGAGGGGTGGGGGGGGCGCTGTCCAGTTTTTAAATGGTTGAGATTTTACCCTTGTTCCAATGCAGCCCTTGGAGACTATGCACTTGAACCACATTTTATTGGCTACTTATAGAGCTTTTTTTTTTTTTTTTTTCCTGATCCGACCTTTACCATCATGTGTTTTACCCACTCAAACAAGTATTCTAAAGAAGAGGTGTACAGAATGTGCTATTTGGCTTGTTTTAACAATGTTCACAAGGTTGTTCTGAAATTAAACAGTATGTTTCTAGATAGCTGGATTGATCTTTAACTGTGGACACTGTAAATCTTAAAGTTGAACATGTTTCTTTTTAAATTTTGACCACTAGCTTAAATGTACAGCCATTTAGTAATTGTACATAACTGTGTGGCATGTTATCTGTGCGTTAATATTACTCCTCAGTTTTTTAATTTGCCTAACCACTACTTTCTTTCTTCAAAATATTCAAATCTTAATTTTGACCTTTAATATATATGTAAATTTCTTCCAACCCTTTGTGGAAGACTAGCAATCATGGTCCTGTCAAAACAGAAATTATACCTTAATTTGAACAGGAAAAGTTTAATATAAAATTATTAACTATAACAGTAGTTTTAGATAATCCAGCATTAGCAAGTACATAATAAAGAGAAGTCAAAAAAATATAGGAATAGCAGATATAAGGAACAAACTTTACTCAAACTTTACTCATAGGACTGAGATAAAACAACTACAGAAGAGCCCACTCACCCTAAAGCTGAGATCTAGATCTTGCTGAATAGCGTATAATTATGGCTCATTGAATGGCAAAGAAGTCACTGTGGTAGTGCATTGGCGGAATTTACTGGAATTCTCTCCTCTGGTACTTGCTGGAAATCTACACTGTACAGTGTTGAGGAATGGTGTTTATGTCAATATATCTTGGAAGGGACACTCTTCTACGAGACTACTTAAGCAGATTCCTAGGGGAAGCTTCTGGCCACTGAGTGCTGCAGGCAGTCATGCACTGCAAGCCATGGTGCTGCAGAAGCCAGATACTGCAGAAGCTGCTCACACTCTGAGTGCTTAGTGACAGAGAAGCTGCTCACATTGCAGGAGACTGTTTAGAGAACACATCAGAACTAGGAAAGAAAACCTTCATCTCTGGCAACGGCTCTAACCCTTTACTGACAAAGCTTAACATCATGCTAGCTAGGAAGAACATTTAATGTTCCCAGCTCCTTTTTTGTTGTTGTTGTTTTTTCCAGAAGAGGAAAGGAAGGGTAAATGAAGTAGGACAATTAATTGACAAGTGGCACAAAATCCTTGTTACAAGCAAATAATTAATTGTATCTTTGCTTTAATTTGACAATGTGTGATTTTCAGAAACATATAAAAGTTTTTGTATATTAAAAAGAAACTGATATCTTACTATAGAGCGATTTATACTTATGGTTCAAAACTCTCTTTAGGTTCTGGCAGGTGTATTCATTTTCCTCAAGGCTAGTGATTTGAGAGAGACCCTAAGCTGCTTGCAAGATTAGACAACTGTATTTATACAGTGATTTGGGATGACTTTGAGGAGGAGCGAGAGATAAAGTACGGAATAAAGAAGTACAAGGTTTAAATATATATAGTATCAAAACAACAGCAAGAACAACCACAAAAAAAAACAAAAACAAACATATAAAGATGTAGAGTCCTTCTTCTACCTCTGTTCATACCCTACTAATTTACTGGCTTTGTATTCTCTGTAAGGATAAGCTATTTTTATGGACAGAGCAGAGAATGAAAGTTTATACATAGTATGGGCAATTTTCTTCTGGCACAATACCCTTTAGAGATGTTCATTTTTTTCTAGTATTTTCTTCATTTTCAAGAATTTGTAAATAAAAACAAAAATCTTTGGAAAAAGAGGAACTCAATGAACCAAAGCATTGAAGCATTGCTCCTATAATTCGTTTTAGTGATTAATAAAAGTACAAGAAAATCAGACAAGATGTAAATATAAGCAGAATCATGATTAAAAATCCAATTTAACATTTAAGCTACAAATTAATTGTTATTTTTGATCAATATGTTATTGATTCTTTTCACTGGGTCATCTTGTGTTTTCTCTGTGCTCGTGTTTTAACCTTTATATTTGAAAAACACATTTAAACTATGTAAGCCAATACTTTTAAAGACCAGTATTTTTTATTTATTACAATTAAAACAACTTCAAAATGAACATGTTGGTTTAAACAAAAAGACTTTGAAAAAGTCTATATACACTTTGGAAAGTTCTGAGGAATAATACATAGTGTTTCTGATCTCTTGTGTTTTATTTCACATTTCATAAACAGCAATCTCCATAGTAGTACAACTTTTATGGTTGTCCAGGAGGTAAAACTAATTCAGATGAGTTATGTAAAATATATTTACACAATAAATTCAGTAAAGGTGTAACAATAAACCATGGGAAGAGGGGGATGCAGCCCACCTACCCCAATTATAAAAGCCAATAAACCCATTCATCTATGATATATATTTTAGGACATACTATATGCATGTCAAAAGGAAAGTTCAGAGAAGTATATAGTATAGTATGGCTCCTGATTACAGTGAATTTGAATTATCATTTATTTCAGTCTACCAAATGTACAATGAACTGAAATATTCCAACCATTCTTCAAGAAGCTAGAGATACAAAAATGAACATGATATGGTCCAAATTTCTGCAGAAATAGTAGTGAATTTTCAAATACGATGGTAATGCAATATTTCATGGATATTGTTGAGTTCTAATTTAGATCTTGAGGAAAGGGTAGTCTTTAGTTACAAGGTAAACCAGTTTGGCTGGAATGCAAATCCTGGATAAGGATAGTGAGCTGGAAGGTACAGTATCCATGCTGGAATTAATAGTATAGATTTACTCCAAGTAGGTGTTTCATGCAAATTCTAAAACCATATATTTCAAGTGATTGTTGCTTTGTTATTGCTCAGATAATGTCTTATAAACAATTATCCACTCTATGCCTAAAGTCATTTTTTGCATTGCTATTTTATTTTAGGAACTCATGTGCAACTGCTTTCAGGAAATGATTTTTTAATGTCTACTACAAATTGTTTCGGCTAAGACACTTCCCTGAGTTCTCTGTTGCTGAAATTTGGCCTGAATACTCCACTTTTCCATCCTCCAAGACCTCTATCATTTGAGATATTTCCTTTTTCTTACTTAATGGTATAGGTGGATACAGCCTCCTTACCTTACCTCTTTTTTTCCTAGCCTGAAGAAGAGTACTCAGAACTTTTTTTTTTAATTTAGAATTTATTGATCTTCATTATAAGATTGCTCCTATGATCTCTAGGCTACTACATTACTGTATAAATCATTCTCACACTGCTATAAAAACTACTGGAGACTGGGTAATTTATAAAGAAAAGAGGTTTAATTGACTCACAGTTCCACTGGCTCTACAGAAAGTATGGCTGGGAGGCCTTAGGAAACTTATAATCATGGCTGAAGGGTTAAAGGGAAGCAAGCACCTTCTTCACATAGTGGCACGAGAGAGTGTGTGTGTGTGTGCGAGAGAGCAAAGGGGGAAGTGCTACACACTTTCAAATAACCAGATCTCGTGAGAACTCACTCACGAGAACAGCAAGAGGAAGTCTGCCCCCATGATCCAGTCCAGTCACCTCCCACCAGGTCCCTCCACCAACATTGGAAATTACAATTCAACATGAGATTTGGCTGGGGACACAGAGACAAACCATATGAATGACCAGTCAGAATCCAAATAGATGACTACATTTGTTTTCATTCTCTGAAGATCTCATACCACCACTTTGCTTCTACCACCACCACTGCTCACACTACCATTAGTGGAGACTAGGGATCTAGAAAACAGAGGTAGGGAGCCTCAGTACTATTTGCTCAATCTATTTCTTTATTTTTAGTTTTGGAATAAGTCTAGCTTTGGAAACTATTAAACATAGAACTACTGTAGAATTATTAAATAAATATTTTGTTTATTATATCATTTCCTCTTGCAAGAATTAAAGCTAAAGAAAAAATGAAAAATATTTGGAGTTTAGATATTAAATCTTAGCTGGTTTCCACTAGTAACATATTTTGCATTTTTATGTAGTGCAATCATTATTCATAGAGTTCTTCAATAATATTTACTTAAAATTATTTTTTCACCAGCCTTTTAACTCTAAAGTGTGTTAGGAAAATACTTTTTTTCTTGGAGATAAGTGATATTTATTAATTGATTAATATCTTTATGTTCTGGCTTCACTATTAGATGACTATTTACTAACTCTGTATCTTAACATGATAAGAAATAATTATTTGAAATCACTTCATATAAATGAAGAGGCTATGTCTTTGGAATAAGTAGTTAGAGTTTAGCATTATTCACAGTGGCATTTTAAATATTTATCTACTTGTGCCTCATTGCCTTCATCTATTACATGTGAATGACACTCATTCATTTCACACATTCATTCATTCATTGAACATTTTTTTTCAGCAACTAATTTATATATTAATATGAACTAGGTTAGCAACAGCCAATGCAGAGGAAAGACAAGGCATTGTCAATATATTTATAGCACTCATATTTCTACTTTCAAATTAAATTACATAACCTATGCAAAATATTAATTTAATACACATTCAACTCAATTTGGTTATTCCCCCCATCTTCCTTTCTTCCTTCTCCAATGCTAATTATAAATGACAGCTTCTTGCTGATTGGGCTCAACACATGAGTCATATACCAATGGAGCAGATGGAGTAGCTTCCTTGTTCTGTTTTGTTTAAGCTGATGTTGATTTCTAATTTCTAATGTACTTCATTTACTTATAAATTGTTATTGCTGCAGTTATTATTTTGCAAGACTCATTTATAAGATAATATATAGAAAGTAACATTCGATGTATCAAATTTTTAAAGCTAATTTTAAAAATTAACTTGACATCTTGACTTTATATTCTTGATAGTTTCACTTAAAGAATATATAAAGTGATTTTGAAATTTCAAAAACAAGTATGGGAATTAAGATGGGTTTTGTGGAGAATAAAGTGGGTCTGATAAATTAATCCATTCCCCTGGGTTCAGATGCTATGTTTTATAATGTGGTAGAATTATGGAAATAACCATCTTCCCCGACGTAAAAGAAGTATGGCATAATAACAGAATTCTAGACTAAAAACAGAGTATTAAGATCTATTCCCATTTATAACTCATAACTCATTAGCTTGTGACTTTAGGAAATTTGCATTATTTCATTTTCCACAGTTTCTGTCTATAAAATAGAAATAACAATATCTTTGGATGCTTCAAAGGGTTATTGTAAGAATAAATGAAATATATATCAAAATGTATTCTGATATGTATAAAATGCCATAATATTTTATCAGTGTGAACTTCCAAATCTCTATGTAGGGGAGGCTTAGAGGTTGCAATCTGGTTGGAAGTAGACTCTGGCAGGGACTCATTCGGAGCTGGATTTTTTTTTTTTTTTAAGACTACAATGTTTTGGTCTTAGACTTTTTTTGTTTTTCCTTAAAACTACCATGATAGGCATGCTATCTTTTACTTCAATCGCATATTAATTTTGAGGGAGTTAGAGTGAGGCTGGAATTCTGGGGCTTAAACTGTGTTAGTTATCTCTATCTTTGTGATAGATTATCCTAAATTACAAAATTTATTATCTCCCAATTTCTGTGAATCAGGTATCTGGAAGTAGCTTAGCTGAGTCCTTTGGCTCAGCATCTCTCATAAAGCTGCATTCAAGCTGGCCTGCAGTTGTCTCAGGACTTGACTGGGGAATGACCCACTTTCAAGCTCAGTCACATGGTCTTTGGCAGGATTTAGTTTCTTGCTGGTTATTGAATGGAGGCCACAGTTCCTCAGTAGCTGTTAACCTCCTTGCCACATTGATCTCTCCATATGTAACGGACAAAATGGCAGCTTATTTCCTCTAAGGGAGCACATGAGACGAGTCCAGAGAATGAGAGCAGGACAGAAATCACAGTATTTTATGACCTAACCTCAGAAATGTTATCCCATCACTTTTGCTGTATTCTATTCATTAGAAGCAGATTACCAAATACATTGCATACATGAGAAAGGAAAATTACATAAAGTGCATGAACACCAGGGAGCCCTTTTAGTAGCTACCTACCACATCAGCCACATGACATAGATTATGGGTTTTTCTTGCTCCTTCTCAACCTCCAACTGTCATACCAACCATGGAATATATATTTTTCTTTATATTTCTATGCTGGGTCTAACATGAAGAACAACAGGAGAAATGGGGAAATGTAGGTCAAGGGATACAAGGTAGTAAATATGCAGGATTAACAAGTGGAGAGATCTAATGCACAACATATGGACTACAGTTAATAATAGTGTATTGTATTCAGGATTTTTGCTAAATGAGTAGATTGCAGCTGCTCTTGCCATAGGGAGAAAATGGGTAACTATGTGAGATGATGTACAAGTTAATTTGTTCCACATTTGTAACCACTTTACTATATCTACATATATGTATCTTATAACATCATGTTATATGCCTTAAATATACCCAATAAAAGTTATTTTTTAAAAAAGAACAGATAGCCATTTCCCACATCTAAATGCAGTGAAGTACAGTAACAGAATTCTAGCCTAGAAATGGAATGTTAAGATTGAGCCCCATTTCTAGCTTATTAGATTGTGATTCTAGAGAACTCACTTTATCTCTTTTTCCTATATTTCCATCCTGAAATGGGAAAAAATGGTATTTCTTATTGCTTCAAATAGTAGTTATTCCTAAGAACGTAGTTGCCCACATTATGATTTGAACAAAGATGAAAGAAATATTCACCTCAGTAAAATTTCATCACAAATCGCTTAAGTAAAAATGGATGTCCCACATGACAGAGCGTACCAGGTTTTCTCAGTTTCCCAAACATACAGACTCTAATTGCTTTTTAGATCAAATAAGACAATTGCACACATAGAACCTTCAACCTCAGTGGTAATATATAAAAGTTAATTAAACCTTTTCTATTTGTTTTCTTCAAAGTTCAAATTCTTTACGTTAAGGAATCTAAATACATTTGATTTGGAGATAGTATTGCCTGTGGTATTTCAATTATTAATATGGAGAATAAATATTGTTATTCATGTGCTGAAGTGACTTTTCCACTTCAAAGTGGTGTCTGTAAAGGAAAATAATGAATAAAATCTGCATTTCTTACCTTTACCACGTCTATGGTCACAGACGCAACAAAGCCTAATCTGATACCATAATATAATTTAGAAGTATTTTATTATGGCATTTGATATATGCAAGTACTCTACAGAATTGATAAATTTATACTTTTTACTTAGGAAATGATTCTGCCCTCCATATTTGCTTATCATTTACTGCCAAAGAAGGGAGGAAGGAAGAGAGGGAAGCGGAAGAGCTGTAAGAAATAGTGACTTATCAGATTGGGAGTAAAAGACAAATACATATGGCTCTTGAAAAATGACCTAGAGGTCAAAAGATATTTTGCAGTGCATTTATGATTTTCACAAGTTTTTGGCACCTACTTGACATTTATGTCTTGAAAGAGAAAGATCAAAATGAAATGTGAATGCCTAATTTCACTAGTCTAATGTTTGAAGTGACAGAAGTGACCAGTGACCAGGACAAATTCATATGTAGCACACAGAAACTGATCCCATTCTAGTCTTACTTCTGACACACATTGTTGTTTGGCACAATGGAATTAACTAATTTCTCTTTCCCTGAATCTCATCTGTCATGTCAGGCTAAAGGAATAATAGGGGAAACATAATTTTAGTTACTGTAAATAAAGTTTATGAATTTCACATTGTGGAAAAAATGTTATTGTCCACTCAATATATGTATTTTGAAGGAATATTGACTGCATATTTAATTAATTTCTCTTTCAAAATCATGATACAACTACAGTAATTGCTCTCTTTATGGGAAAAAGGCTCTTTCTCTAGCGAAGCTTTATGATTCATAAACACTGACAAAAGATTCAAGGAATTCTGGCTTATGTAATTACCGGGCATGTATTTAATTGTTTTCCTTGGAATACTTGTTTATAGGATGATAGAATTAAAAAATAATTGAATCCTAAAATCTGAACTTCAAATTTCTATTTCTCTCTGATATTATGATTAATATAGCTATTTATTTGCAACAGTTCTCAGATCATTGTTTTTCTTTATAAGACAATTTTGTGGTGCAAGTATTACTTAATACAAAATACATTAATAAATAAAGTTAAGTGTACCAAAGCAGATGCTGCTACTAAACACATGTTTCTTTGCTAGAATCAAGATATATTTAAGGACTGTTATGAGATTAGGAATCAAAGTGAATAATTTTGGATCTTTGCCGTTGTTGAATGAATTTATTGTTTTTTAACACAGATTTTATTTCATATGTATGGCTTAGTCCTCAAATAGGTAAGACTTCACTGAGACAGTTGTATTTAAAAATTTGATATAATTTTTATCAAACAGATTTGAATTTGAACAATAAGTACTAGATTTGAGGTATGAAAATGTGAGCCTTTGTGTCAAAATTAAAAACTTTTTGGCATTAAAGATGACTATCAAGAAAGTGAAGACAACCAATACAATGAAACTGTTTGAAAATCATGTATCTGATAAGAGACTTATATCCAGAATACATAAAAAATTTGTATAATTCAACAATAAAAAGAAAAATAACCTAGTTTTAAAATGGGCATACCATTTGAATAGACATTTCTCACTGTAAGATATATGAATGTCCAATAAGCACATGAAAAATGTGATCAATATAATTATTCATTAGGAAAATGCAAACCCAAACCACAATGAGATACCACTTGACACCCACTAGGATGGCTTTCATCAGAAAGACAGAAAATAAAAAATATTAGCAAGGATATGGAGAAATTACAACACTATACTTTGCTGTTGGGGATGAAAATGATGTGACTCCTTTGGAAAAAGTTTTAATTTTTAAAAATGTTAAATATAGAGTTAACATTTTTTGATATGGTAATAGTTTCTACTTCTAGATGTGATGCAATATCTACTCCTCGGTCTATACCCAAGATAAGTAAAAATATATGTTCACTTAAACCTGTACCTGATTTTCATAGCAATGGTATTCATAATAGCTCAATGTGGAAATAATGCAAATGTTCATCAATTGATTAATGGATTTAAAAATATGGTATATTCATACGGTAAAACATTATTCATCCATGAAAAATAAAACACTAGAACATGAAGTAAACTTGAAAATACGCAAAGTCAAAGAAGGCAGAGAGAAAAGGCCATATATGGTATTATTCCATTTATATAAAATGTCCACAATAGGCAAGTCTATACAGACAGAAAGTAGATTAGTGCTTGTCAGGGAATGGAGGAGTGGGGAATGGGGAATGATAGTTAATGGGTATGGAGTATTTTTTTAAGGTGAGGAAAAATGTTCTGGAATTACATAGTGGTGATGGTTGAACAACTCTGACTATACTAAAAACCACTGAAGTGTACACTTTGAAAGGGTAAATTTTATTGTATATGAATTATAACTCGATAAAACAATTATACAAATGATAATAAAAAATCAGCAAGTAAGTATTGATGAATTAGGATATGTGCCATTCGGGAAACAAACAAGATCCAAGGATAGTAATGCACAGGGATATATTTTAGAAATTAGTTTATGTTGGATTTTTCAAAAGCAGAAAAAGATGCAAACCTCTGAGTTTTCTGGATTTAAAATTGAATGCAGAATTGTCTACTAATGATATGAGAGTTACAAAACTTGAACTAAATCAAAAAGCCAGTGCTAAGCACTGAGAGATGTAATGTGTATTTAAATTAGTCCCTGCAGGGTTTGTAGCTTATGATTCTAATAAATAAATTCCAAAAGCAATAACACAGTATTATGTATAATGATTGATGTCCCAGTGATATAAACATGCAGCTATAGGATTATACTTATTTTGCTTATTTAAATAACTGAGAGGTTACATTTTAGGAGAAATAAGTAATCTCTAAGTACACATTTAAGAAGCTTTGGAGTTGGCATATTTTTAAAATTTGCCCTTGTAATAGAAAAGGCCGTTGATTACTTGCTTTTAACGAATTAGTAACTTTTGCTTGATGAAGTAAAAAAGGTACAAAAAGTTAACTAATTAAGCAAGTGACAAAGAAAAAGCATACAAAATTCTTGTAGAGTTATCACAACTTAATTAACTCAGAATATCCAATAATAATCACTTTAAACATTTAATGTACTTTGTGAATACTATGTCTCATTTGACCCTTACAAAATCTGTGAGATAGGGCATCAGCCTATATTTCCAGATGAGAAAATAGAGAAAATGAGATTAAATGTAATATTTCATAGTTGGATGATTTCTTAGAAAGCCATGATGAAAACCATGGATCTCCTGATATGATGACTCATATATATATATATATATATATTTTTTTTTTCTGTTAGACTAGTGTTGATTGCTCAGTGATATTGGTGGGATTGGAGTGGTAGGAGTGGTAGTGATGAAAGACTAAAAGGAACAATGTTTTGATAAAGAAATATATTAGAGTCCATTTTTCACAGACTAAGAATAGGTAGTTCAAAATCTGAGAAGTAAAAAATTAAAAACATAAAAACTTTGTAGAACAATTAGAAGATACATTTCTGAGTACAATTTATTATAAGATTATTGTGAAGTAGGATTTAGTTATTTATTTAAAAAAACTCAGAAGGTTCTCAGCATAAAAATATATGTTAGCAATTAGATTGTGTTTTCATATGCACTTAAAAAGTGTCTGGGCTGGTACTGTGTCCCCAAGACTAGTAAATAATTATGTACGTTAGAAACAACCTACCATATGGTCCCTCTTCTCAAATGAAAGTCAATTACTCTCTAATGAAGCATTTCAAAAGCATTTTGGCCATTTTCCAAATAAATCATTATTCAACATTTCTTTTTAGTAATGACAACTGACTTAATGGTGGCCCTGGTTTTTTATGCTTCCTCTCTTGCCTTATGTGAATGTAAATCTAATCCTACCTTTAAAGACAACAGGATGTCACAGTACAGCACCCTTAGCTAGTTCAAGGCATGAAACAACTCTATCACTTAAGGATTTTGTGATGGCAGCTTCACATTAGTCCAGCAATTCAAGATGGAAATAGGACAATGTAACAGAGGACACAAAAGCTGTTGCTTTATGACTGAAGTTGCAGGATAGAGGTGAGCCTTGATTCTGTGTTATGTAGCTGGACTCCACAAAAACGCTACTACTACTCAGCATATTATGCACTCAATAGACTGGCCTGGTTTGGAAATGATGCCACAGTTTGCCCCATCATTATGTCTTCTCTCTCTTTTATTAATAAACTTTAGGTTCAGAAAACCCGTATTACAGAAGCACACTACAGGAGCACACTATTTTTTGTCTTTTTTTTTTTTTTTTTGAGAAACAATTTCTTTTTATTATTATTATTATTATTTAAGTTTTAGGGTACATGTGCACAATGTGCAGGTTAGTTACATATGTATACATGTGCCATGCTGGTGTGCTGCACCCATTAACTCATCATTTAGCATTAGGTATATCTCCTAATGCTATCCCTCCCCGCTCCCCCCACCCCACAACAGTCCCCAGAGTGTGATGTTCCCCTTCCTGTGTCCATTTGTTCTCATTGTTCAATTCCCATCTATGAGTGAGAACATGCGGTGTTTGGTCTTTTGTCCTTGCGATAGTTTCCTGAGAATGATGATTTCCAATTTCATCCGTGTCCCTGGATTACCTGATGTAACATTTTTCCTTCTTTTATTTTTCACAGAAATTATTTTATTAACATCTTTTTCTTTTGAGATATAGAGTAGTGAGTTCCTGTAATATTCAAACAAACATTATTCACAGGAATCATTATTTTCCTCTGCCTCCAGTTCAATAACAATTTTCTTTTTCAGTCAGATGATAGATACTTTTACATATCACATCTCACTAACTCCTAAATAAGTGTGATCATATATGTTTCTATTATACACCCTTTTCGTTTCCTTTATCCCTCATTTTTCTTTGCGTTTCTTTTTTTCTTTTTACAGCAAACAAAGCTCTTTATTTAGCTATCTTTAACAATGTAGTAAAATTGTAATTTTTGTTAGATATTTAATATTGTTATTATCCAAAATAACATTTGAAGATTGTCACTTACCCAATCAGAAAAAAAGAAAGAAGGAAGAAAAAAGCAAAAAGGCAAAGAAAGAAAGGAGACAAAGAAAGCAAGGGAGGAAGGAAAGGAAAAAAGATTGTTAAGCCTTCATTTCTTAAAACTTGAAACATATTTGCTTACTCTAAGTGGCAGCATGGTAGTTCTATGTAAAAACACTTTGTCATTAAAACACCAACAAAAGCCCTTTAGCGCTTTGTTGAACCAGAGAATCTCATCTGGATCAGATTTTTTTCTACTTTATTCAATTCTACCTATCACGTTTTTATTTTATTTTATTTTATTTTATTTTATTTTATTTTATTTTATTTTATTTTATTTTATTTTATTTTACCACCATGAGCTGTGCTCTAATATCACTTTCTTATATCAGGGCTCTTCATTTCCATCTTTTCCATGTCAACTTGCTCACTAATGTTTTCATGGGCTAGGATCCTCCCATATTTTCCATGAACTGCTGTTTGTTTGCTTCAGCATGCTTGCTTGACAACCCACATCCTTTTTCTAACCTGAGTGCTCTATGCTTGCTTTCTACATGCCTCTGTGATAAACAGATTCTTTTATTCTGCAATGTTTGTCAGAAAAGAAAGAAGTTGGATTTAGGTTATGCTATGGTTTGAAAGTGTCCCCCAAAGTTCATGTGTTGGAAACAACCTCCAATGCAACAGTGTTGACAGGTGGGACCTCTAAGAGGTGGTTAGGTCATGAGGGCTCTGCTTTCCTGAATGGATTCATGTTGTTACCCTAGGAGTAAGTTCGCTATCTAAAGAGTAGTTTTCTTATACTATCTCTGGCAAGCTCTCTCTCCATGTGATACCTCCTACCATGTGATGACACATCAAAAAGATCATCATAAGGTGTGGCCCCCCAATCTTGGACTTCCTAGCCTTCAGTACCATTCAGCCAAGTAAACTTCCATTGCTTATAAATTACCCAGTTTGTGGTATTCTCTTATAGCAGCACAAAACAGAGTAAAACTGATTCTCAGTGAAAAATAGATCTATAGATGCAAAACATCCCTTGACAATCTATGGGAAGAGTGGTTATTTCTTTTTTGATTATTGATGTTCCCAGCAATCTAGGCACAATCTCTGGTCCAATAAATATTTGGGACTAGTCTACTGCAAGTCGATATCTGTTGAACTATGCTATGTCTAGCATTCTTGTAGGCTAAAATATCACCAATATCTTTTCTTTGTGTTTCCAATGACTTGTAATTAATTACATTTCTATGACTGCTGGTAGGTGTTCTCGAGAGGTTTTGACTATTAAATATTAAATATCAAGAGATAACTTTTCCATATGTCTGAAAATTTCAATGTCATAAGACCCTTAGGTTTTTGTTTTCTTTATTCATCTAGGCAGCACTTTTTCATTTTGGTGAATCCAATATATTCTTTTCCTTGTCAGTTGACTATTTTAGCTTTAAGAAATTGTAAAATCATGTAAAATTGATGTTATTTTATAGACAGAGTAATTGTAATACGGCTTGCTCAGTTGCCTAAAGATATAAACATATATTGACAGGAACAGGCTAGAAATTGTCTTCAGATGATCACTCACAAAACCAAGTGCTTTTGCTATAGTCATGAATAAGGATCAAGAATGAGGAAGATAATAACACAAATTCTCTCTAGAATTTCTTGTAGAGCTATTTCATTTCAGTTTGCCATAGTTTTGTTTAGTCAGAGGTGACCTTTTGAGCAATGAAAAGACAATTTTGCCTTCAATTGAACACTAATCCCTACTAATTAGAATTTAGAAAGTCATGTTTTTTTAAATGTCTACCTTCCAGCTGTCATATCTCTGATATGTGTTTGCCTTTATTCTTGTTGGTTTCCTATTGATTATGGAAACATTAGACTTAGTATCTCACACACTAATTCAGGCAACTGGTAGGCATACATACATCAGTAAAGTAATTCATTTTATCCTTCTAGCATTATATCCTCCTATTTTTTTGCCCATTTACACAAATAATCATTTCAGTATGAAAGATGTTATAAATCATTTAACACCTAGGGGACAGTTACAACAACAACAATGCAACTTTATCTTCTCAATTTTTTTTATTTCCTTATCCCTCTCCATACACATTTTTTACTGCCTGTATTAGTCCATGCTTGCACTGCTATATAGAAATACCTGAGACTGGATAATTTGTAAAGAAAAGAGGTTTAATTGGCTCATGGTTCCACAGGCTGTACAGGAAGCATGATCGGTTATGGGGAGGCCTCAGGATACTTTCAATCATGCTGAAAGGTGAAGGGGAAGCAGGCATGTCTTACATGGTCAGAGCAGGAGGAAGAGGGAAGCCAGATTTTGCAGTAACTCACTCTTGGGCCAGGACAACACCCAGAGGAATGGTTTAAACCATGAGAAACCACCCTCATGATTCGATTACCTCCCAAGAGTCCCCACCTCTGAAATTGGGTATTACAATTCAACATGAGATTTGAGTGGCAACAGAGATGCAAACCATATCACTCCCCCATGCTTGTTCCCTCAGCCCTCTCTCTTCTCCTTGACAATGGCTAGCACTGTGAATTTTACAAAACTATGGAAAATTAGAAATAAATTACTAATTTGCTTTGAGGAAATATTTGAGCATGTTATAAATGAGTGAGTAGCCGAAGTAATGAAGCAAATTACAAAGGCAAAGAAGCATTAACCTTATTTTACAAAGGGTCTTTATAGTCACTTCCCAGAACAGAATGTCTGCTAGTGAAAGAAAATTAAGATAGAAGAGCAATGAGATAGTTTGTATAGGCATTAGCCAAAATCTTCAATACAATTTGGAAACTAATTATTGATCTTCTTCTACTTGTTTCACATATCCTTTATTTTTCTTAAGAAAACCCATTAAATTTAGACTTACATTTTAGGCTATAAGTTGAATCCATAACATAAGAAATTTTCTTGTGTGTAGCAAGGCTATGGATATGAAATTTCTTAAGATGCCACAAAACTAATCAGAGATTACGTAGAATAAAAACCACTTCCACTTCACTATTTTTTCTCATCTGCAGCAGCAGTTCCCAAACTTTTTGGCACCAGGGACTGGTTTTGTGGAAGACAGTTTTTTCATGTATCGGGGGTGGAGCAGGGTGGGGATGAAACTGTGCCACCTCAGATCATCAGGCATTAGATTCTCATAAGGAGCCTGCAACCTAAATCCCTTGTATATCCAGTTCACAGTAGGATTCACACCCCCATGAGACTCTAATGCCACCACTGATTTGACAGGAAGCAGAGCTCAGGCAGTAATAACCCCTTGCCAACTGCTCACCTCCTGTTGTGTGGCCCAGTTCCTTATAGGCCACGGACTGGTACAGGTCAGTGGCCTGGGGATTGAGGATCGCTAATCTAGGGCGTTTAATTAGCTGAATTACTTCTATTCGCACTTGCCCTCCCCAGCTCTCCCCTCCTTTGTAGAATACAGTGTGCTGTATGCCATCCAGAAGGCTTTAGATGGCTCACTGTTGCCAGTTTTGAGAGACTTGACAGGCTCTTCATAACCAAGCCTCAGAAGACCTGAGTAAACTTATTTCTATCCACTCACTGTCAGGCACAGTACACTCTTAAAACAACAGCTCCACACAGCTTCTCAGAAGGGAATAAAGAAGCCAAATTAAAGGTAATTCATCTTTCAAATATTTATAAATATTTAACCGCATTCAATTTAATAGAGAAACATGCTTACAGTTTTTTAAAAATTTCTGGATACGTAGTTGCTATATATGTTTACAGGATATGTAAGATATTTTGTTGCAGGCATACAATGAGTGATAATCACATCAGGGTAAATGAGTTATCCATCACTGCAAGTATTTATCATTTCTTTGTGTTACAGACATTCCAATTATATTCTTTTAGTTATTTTTAAGTGGACAATAAATTATTATTGATTGCACTCACCCTGTTGTGCTGTCAAATACTAGATCATATTCATCCTATCTAAGTATATTTTTTTACTCATTAACCATTACCCTCTTCCCCCAATACCTCCACTAGCCTTTCCAGCCTTTGGTAACCATCATTCCACTCTTTGGCTCCATGAGCTTAATTATCTTAATTTTTGGCTCCCACAAATGAATGAGAACATGCAAAATTTGACTTTCTGTACCTGGCTTATTTCACTTAACATAATGTCCTCCAGTTCCATTCATGTTGTTCCGAAGGACAGGATCTCATTCTTCTCTGTGGCTGAGTAGTACTCATTGTGTATATGCATAACATTGTTTTTAATCTATTTGTCTGTTCATGGACAATTAGATTGCCTCCAAATATTGACTATTGTGAACAGTGCTGCAGTAAACATGGGAGTGCAGAGTTCTTCAATACACTTATTTTCTTTTTAAAAAATTTTTAATTCTTGTGGATACAGAGTAGTTGAATATTATTTATGGGGTTGATGAGATACTTTGATATAGGCATGCAGTGTATAATAATCACATCATGCTAAATAGTATATCCATCTTCTCATGTGTTTATCTTTTGTGTTGCAAATAGTCCGGTTATACTCTTTAAGTTATTTTTAAATGTGTAGCCAAATTATTAGTAACTATAGTCACCCTGTTATGTCATCAAACACTTGGCCTTATTCTTTCTAACTACTTTTTGTACTTACTAAACATCCCTTTTTCCCCCACCACTCCCACCTTACTACCCTCTCCAGCCTTCGGTTACCATCTTCCTACTCTCTATCTCGATGAGGTCAATTTTGTTAATTTGTAGCTCTCACAAATAGGTGGGAACATGCAAAGTTTGTCTTTACATGCCTGGCTAATTTCATTTAACATGATGACCTCCAGTTCCATCCATGTTGTTGCACATTACAGGACCTCATTCTTTCTTCATGGTTGATTAGTACTCATTGTGTGTGTGTACCACCTTTTCTTTATCTGTTCCTCTGTCGATAGACACTTCAGTTGCTTCCAAATACTGGCTATTATGAACAGTGCTGCAACAAACATAAAAATGGAGATATACCTTTAATATACTGATTTCCTTTCTTTTGGGTATATACCCAGCAGTGGGATTGCTAGATCGTATGGTAGCTGAATCAATTTTAGATTTTTGAGGAGCCTCCAAACTGTTCTTCAAAGTGGCTGTACTAATTTACATTCTCACCAATAGTGTACGAGGGTTCCCTTTTCTCCACATCCTTGCCAGCATTTGTTATTGCCTGTCTTTTGAATGAAAGCCATTTTAAATAGGATGAGATGATATCCCACTGGAGTTTTGATTTGCATTTCTCTGATGATCAATGATGTTGAGCACCTTTTCATATGCCTGTTTGCTGTTTGTATGTCTTGTTTTGAGAAGTGAATATTCACATCCTTTGCCCATGTTTAATTGGATTATTAAGTTTTTTCCTATAGAGTAGTTTAAGCTTCTTATATATTCTAGTTATTAATCCCTTGTCAGTTAGGTAGTTTGCAAATATTTTCTCCCATTCTGTAGTTGTCTGTTCATTTTGTTGTTTGTTTTCTGTGCAGAAGCTTTTTAGCATGATGCGATCCCATTTGTCTATTTTTGCTTTAGTTACCTGTGCTTTGGGGTATAATACTCAAGAAATCTTTACCCAGACCAAAGTCCTAGAGAGTTTCCCCAATGCATTCTTTTAGCAGTTTCATAGTTTGAGGACTTAGATTTAAGTATTATTTCCACTTTGACTTGATTTTTGCATATGGGTAGCAATAGGGGTCTAGTTTTAGTTTTCTGCATAGAGATATCTAGTTTTCCCACCACCATTTGTTGAAGAGACTGTCCTTTCCCTAATTTATGTTCTTGTCACCTCTGTTGAAAATGAATTTACTGTAGATGTATGAATTTATTTATGGATTTTCTATTTTGTTCCATTGCTTTATGTGGCTTTTTTTTTCTGCCAGTACCATGCTGTTTTGGTTACTATAGCTTTGTAGCGTTAAGTTGAGGTCAGGTAATGTGATTCCTCCAGTTTTGCTCTTTTTGCTCAGGATGGCTTTGGCTATTCTGGGTCTTTTGTGACTCCATCTAAATTTTAGGATTTTTTTTTTTCTATTTCAGTGGAAGGTCATCGGTATTTTGCTCAGGACTACATTGAATCTATAGATTGCTTTAGCTAGTATGGACATTTTAACAGTATTGGGTCTTCTAATCCATGGACATGGAATATCTTTTCATTTTTTTGTTTCTTCTTTGATTTCTTTCAAGAATGTTTCATAGTTTTTATTGTAGAGATATTTTACTTCTCTTGTTAATTCCTAGTATTTTACTTTATTTGTAGCTATTGTAAATGGGAACACTTTCTAGATTTCTTTTTCAGATTGTTCACTCTTAGCATCAAGAAATGCACAGATTCTTGTATGTTGATTTTTGTATCCTAGAAGTTTACTGAGTTTATCAGTTTGATTGTTTTTAGTGGAATCTTCAGGATTTTTCAAATATAAGATCATATTATCTGCAAACAAGGATAATTTGACTTCTTCATTTCCAATTTGGATGTACTTTATTTCTTTCTCTTGTCTGATTGCTCTAGCTAGGACTTCCAGTACTATGTTGAATAACAGTGGTGAAAGTGTACTCTTGTTGTGTTCCAGATCTTAGAGGAAAGGCTTTTAGTTTTTCTCTGTTCACTATGATAACTAGCTGTGGGTCTGTTATATATAGCTTAAATTGTATTGAAGTATGTTTCTTATTTACCCAGTTTTTTTAGGACTTTTTAATCATGAAATAATATTGAGTTTTATTAAATTCTTTTTCCGTGTCAGTTGAAATGATCACGATTTTGTCCTTCATTTTGTTTTTATGATGTATCACATCGATTTGCATTTGATGAACCATTTTTGCATCCTGGAGATAAACCCACTTGCTCATGATGAATGATCTTTTTAA
The DNA here is from genome assembly GCF_000001405.40 of Homo sapiens. NCBI lineage: Eukaryota > Metazoa > Chordata > Mammalia > Primates > Hominidae > Homo > Homo sapiens. Next base: position 90,870,566 of record NC_000004.12, read on the forward strand.
TGTGTTGTTGTGTTCTGTTTGCCAGCATTTTGTTGAGGTTTTTTACATCAATGTTTTTCAGAGATATTGGCCTGTAGTTTTCTTTTTTGATGTGTCTTTGTCTGGTTTGGTATCAGGGTAATACTAGCTTCACTGAATGCATGTAGAAGTACTTCCTCCTCCTCTATTTTTCTTAGTTGTTTAAGAAGGATTGGTGTTAGCTCTTTAAATGTCTGATAAAATTTAGCAGTAAAGCCACCAGGTCCTTGGCTTTTTTTTTTTTTTTTTTTACCGGGAGACTATTTATTATGGCTTAAATCTCATTACTTGTTATGGTCTATTCAGATTTTGGTTTTCTTTATGGCTAAATTTTTTGGGTTGAATATCCTCAAAATATATTTATTTTTTCTATTTTTTCCTTTTTTAATGTATGTTTGCTCGTTTCTAATGATCTTTTGAATTTCTCCACTATCTGTTGTAATGTCTCCTTTTTTTTGTCTTTTATTTCATTTATTTGGGTCTTCTCTCTTTTTTTCTTAGACTTTTTAAAGGTTCATCAAATGTATCTTTTCAAAAAATTAACTTTTCATTTTGTTGATCTTTTGTATTCTGTATGTTTTCATTTCAATGTCATTTATTTCTGCTCTGTTCTTTATTAATTTCTTCAGCTAATTTTACATTTGCGATTTGCTCATGCTTTTGTAGTTCTTTAAGATGTATTGTTAGCTTGTTCAAGTTTTAAAAAAAAATATTTAGGATCATATAGCTATACATTTTTCTCTTAGTACTTCTTGCGCTGTATCCCATAGATGTTGGTATGTTGATCCATGTTCATCTGTTTCAAGAAATTTTAAAATTTCCTTAAGCTTCTCATTGACCCAGTGGTCATTCAGAGCATACTGTTTAATTTCCATGGGCTTGTGTAGTTTTCAGAGATCCTCTTGTTATTGATTTTCAGTTTTATTCCATTGTAGTTAGAAAGGATAATTGATATTATTTCAAATTTTTTTGTTTTTGAAGACCCTTTTGTGGTCTAACATGCAGTCTATCATTGAGAATTATCCATGTGCCAAGGAAAATAATGTGTATTCTGCAACCATTGGATGAAACATTCTGTGAACATCTATTAGGCCCATTTGGTCTATAGTCCAGATTAAGTCTGATGTTTCTGTGTGGATTTTCTATCTGTGTGATCTCTCTAATGCTGAAAGTGGGGTGTTGATGTGTCCAGTTATTTCTGCATTGGAGTCTATCTCTCTTTAATTCAAATAATATTTGCTTGTTTATCTGGGTGCTCTAGTGTTGGGTGCATATATATATTTATAATTGTTAATATCCTCATGCTGTATTGACCCCTTTATCATTAAATAATGACCATCTCTGTTTCTTTTTATGGTTTTTGTCTTAAAATTTATTTTGTCTGATGTACATAGAGCTACTCCTGCCATTTTCTGCTTTTCATTTTCATGGAATATCTTTTCTCATCTCTTTATTTTCAGTGTATGTGTGTGTTTATGGGTGAAGTTTGTATCCTGTAGAGAGCAGATAGTTGGGGCTTTAAAAAAAAATCCATTCAGCTACTTTATGTCTTTTGATTGGAGAGTTTAGTCCATTTGGATTCAATGTTATTAATAAGTAATGATTTACTACTGCCATTTTGTTTCTCGTTTTCCAGTTATTTTGTATTTTTTCCTTCCTTCTCCTTCCTTCCTTCCTTTTATCCTTCTTCCCACCTTCTATCCTGGCATACTTTTTGTGAAAGTGATTTTCTCTGGTGGTATGATTACATTTCTTGCTTTTTATTATTTGTGTATCGATTGCAGTTTTTTGCATTTGAGGTTACCATGAGGCTTGCAAATAACATCTTATAACAAATTACTTTAAACTGTTCAAAACTTAACACTGATTGCATAAACAACAAAAATAGCAAGCAAGTCAATATAAAATGAATAAAAATTATACTGTAACTTCATTCCATCAGTTTTCTTACTTTTTGTTGCTTTTATTTATATCTTGCTATACTGCCTATGTCTTGAATAGTTGTAGTTATTACTTTCGATTGGTTCATCTTTTAGTCTTTCTACTCAAGCTATCAGTAGTATACATCCCAGAATTACAGTGTTATAATACTCTGTATTTGTCTGTCAACTTACTATTACCGGTGAACTTTGTACCTTCAGATGATTTCTTATTGCTTGTTAACATCCTTTACTTTCAGATTGAAGAACTCTATTTAGCATTTATTGTAGAACGTGTCTAGTGTTGAAAAAAATCCCTCAAATTTTGTTTGTCTGGGAAAGACTTTGTATCTCCTTCATGTTTGAAAGATATTTTCTTTAAATATATCATGCCACCCTCTCCTGGCATATCAGGTTTCTACTAAGTCCCCTGCCAAACATATTGGAGCTTCTTTGTATGTTACTTGTTTCTTTTCCCTTGCTGCTTTTAGGACCTCTTTTAAAAAAATACTTGATTTGGGGAGTTTGATTATTAAATATCTTAGGTAGTCTTATGCGGGTTAAATCTGCTTGGTTTTCTTTAACCTTTTTGTACTTGAATATTGATATCTTTCTTACATTTCAAAAGTTCTTTGTTATTATCTTTTGTAATAAACTTTCTACCCCGATCTCTCTGTCTCTACCTCTTCTTTAGGGCCAATGACTTTTAGATTTTCTCTTTTGAGGTTGTTTTCTAAATCTTACAGACTGCTTCATTCTTTTTAATTCTTTTTTCTTTTGCCTCCTCTGACTGTGTATTTTCAAATAGAGTGTGTTCAGGTTTACTAATTCTTTCTTTTTCTGAATCAATTCTGTTGGTGAGAGACTGATGCATTCTTCAGTGTGTCAGTTGCACTTCTTAGCTTCAGAGTTTCTGCTTTGGTGTTCCTGTTGCGGGAACCATCATTGGAGGGTTCTATTTTACTATCTTGTTCCACCTCCCCAGTTCTTGTAAATATGAAACCAAAATCTTTACAATGGTATTGACCTTTAAAACTCCTTGCAGATCTGTAATTGTAAACAAATAATATTTTGAAGCTCAGGTCATTATTTTTTATCTTATGAGGCACATGATTGGTTATGACCTTTGAACAATAATCTTATTGAATATGCACAGATCATCTTAAGTGTTAAGAGTGTCTAAGGAAATATACATTACCTGCCAGATTTATGTATATGTATGTACATTTTTGAGAGGAAAAAGGCAATTTTTAAAGCTAACATTTGGGGACAAACAACTAATATTAAGCTAAAAGTAAAAATGCCTTGACCTTCTTATACTGGTTCTATTTTTCTCTTTGTCCCTGATAGTGACAGATGACATTCATAGTCCCAATGAGCTTTTCTCATATTTTTGATTTATCAAAATGCATGATTTAATAACTGTCTTTAATTTTATTTTCAAAATATAGGCAAACAGTTGCATATGGTACGGTACTAAATGTGTTAAAGAACCTTTTGTTCCCTACTCTATTTCGAGGTGAAAGAGAATGCTAATGTAATGATAAGTAAATGATTCTTTCACATTTGGCTTTCCTTCCATCTTCAATTTAAAAAGTTAGCTAGGTACCCACTCAGAATAATTGAATAATGCTTCTTTCTACCTAACACTGCTGTAGAAGCATTTATTTCCTCTCATATTTCCAGTTATCTCTAGGCACAGCTTTAGGTAATATCTTAAAAGTTACAAAAATATTTTCTTATGGTATGATTTCATAAATCCTTTATCAACAAACGCAAATCATTCAAAGGTTTGTATTTGAAGTTTTTTAAATAAGCACATAAAGCTAGTGGCCATGTAGCAAACCTCTAAATTTTTTTAAAATGTTTCTTTTGTTCTTATTTTTGTGAAAATTTGTTATGTCTTTCAACTTTAGAAGAAGTTTTTTTTCCCATAAAAAAAAAATCTCACCATGGGGTTTCTATTTTGATGCTATCTTGTGGATGGGACATTTGGCTAGGTCATCAAATGGTCTGCATCTCACCAGCTGCTGTTTTTCCCTCCCTCCCAAGACCTTGAGAAAGTAACGTAACATTCCTAAGTATCTATTTCTAACTTTGTCTAAGTATTTCACAAAAAACGAATTCAACAAATGCTTATAGATGACTTTTGTATTCATAAGTTGATTTTCTTTAAAGGAAATACTAATCCCTTGTTTTCTTCTCCTTGCTCATCTTGTTTAGTAATTTAGAAAACCCAATGCCTATATTAAAAAACAAAATTGGCTGGGTGTGGTGTCTCACACCTGTAATCCCAGCACTTTGGGAGGCTAAGGCAGGCGGATCACAAGGTCAAGAGATCGAGACCATCCTGGCCAACATGGTGAAACCCCGTCTCCACTAAAAATACAAAAATTAGCTGGGCGTAGTGATGCATTCCTATAGTCCCAGCTACTCAGAAGGCTGCGGCAGGAGAATCACTTGAATCTGGGAGGCGGAGGTTGCAGTGAGCTGAGATTGCACCATTGCACACCAGCCTGGGCTACAGAGCGAGACTCCATCTCAAAAAACAAAAACAACAACAACAACAGCAAGAACAACAAAAACTGCATCATCTCTCTGTATCCATCTCTTTATTTCTCTCTCTAGTATGTTCCCGAGTGCTTGAGTTCTCTAATGATCTATGGCATGAAGCAGCCTTTATCAGCTTGGCCACTTGAACAATTACGTGTTGCACATCACATCAAAGAAAAGGGGGATGATAAATGAATATCATCTTGTTTTGGTGGCTATTAAATGCCTTCACTTTCATACAATGAGAAATTTGATAAACTGAGTTGAGCCTCATGGTTAATGACATTTCCAAATTTTAGAATATCCATAAATAATGGAGGAACTTATTATAAACAATAGGGGATAAAACAAAGAACCTCTCTTCTGACACATGAGAACAAATGACTTCACATCTCATCTATTTTTAGAGAATGATGTTGAAGTCTATTCATTTATCCTCTGTTATTCATTTTTGGATAAATAATGATGCTCTTTTAAAACCTGAAGTCCAAATGCCTTAATACAATAAGATATGTGACATTTTATAGGCATTTTGTAACAAGTCTTGCATGTCACTATAGTGCGGTTACATACAATATCAATTATTCCCTAAGGTATTATATAGTTGTAGATCATAAACTTATAGCTTAAATTAAACATCACAGCTGGTTGCTTTAATTTGATGCATTATGCCACAAATGTTTCAACAGCTTGACTAAGATGAGCCATACTGCCGATTCAAAAGAAGAGCGAAGGTCAATGCACAGGAAGCCTAGTCATTTGCAGATTTTCTTTGAGAATATTAAAAAGCATTCTGCAGAATATAGTTAAATGGAATATAACCAAACAAAATTAAAGAAAACAGAGCAGACTATTGCGATGGTGTTTCACTTATAAAAAGCAGCCTATAAATTCTTAATTTCATGTCAGTGTTTACGATAGCACATTTTAAAAATCATGAATAGGGTGCTTTGAGAATGTTGTTTACTTCTTTCATTGTGGTAGCCTTGCCTGCTTCTTTTCAAACTTAAAACTTCATTAAATCTGCAAAGGAAGGCAATTATGAGAAGAAAGATAAAAAATGATTGCCCCCTTTTTCCCCTCTCTCCAGGAAAGTTTTTCCCCCTCAATTAGAAGACCAGAAAAGCTGTCTTTTCACTCATCCCATTCTTCACTCCAAAAGTCTTTAGCTAAGAATACTGATAATAATTCCACCAAGATTATCATTCATTATAATGAAAACCCAATTTTTATTCTAACTCCAAGGGTATTCTAACCCATAATAATTAGCCCTAAATATTATTTTTGAAGCAATTCACAAGCTAAAATAATCTGTTAGTTAAGATCAGAAAATAAAACTCCCTCAAATCATGTGTGCTGGCAACACAACAGAGATGGAAGCAATCATGTGTGAAAGGTTAATAACATGATATTTTAAGATTAAAAAGATGAAACTAAGCTTTTCCGTATTTGTCATAAAGACATAAAATTTCAAAAACAAAATGAGAACCCAAATATCTCTGAGAGTTTGCTCTCACAACATCTAACTAATCATCATCTCTTAGTTCAGAAACACTTAGTTGTTCATAAACCACAAATCCCTTAGTATGACATTTGGAGCCCCATTCAATCCCATTCATATATCATTAAACCATACTTAATTACACACTCTAGCCATTGCCTGTGTGTGTGAGTTTTTCTTTAGCCACTATTTTAAACACTCTTCCTCCTTTCAATACAGTTCAATTATTGTCTCCTATTAACGTAATGCTAATACTTTCAATCAAAATTAACCCTTCCTTTATTGATGTATCTATAAAACGTAATTATTATGGGATTTCAGTTATGGAATACTTTTTGTCTCAGAGTTATTTTAACAGGCAAAATATAAATTTCTTTGTTTCATGTATGACTCATCTTTTCTTTAGCTCTTCATTCTTCTGTGTAGGTAATTAATGTCTGTTGAGTTAAATTACATCATCATTCTAATCCAACACTTTTTTTCTTTATAGTGAGGGAAACTAAGTTTCAGAGAGTTTAAGTATGTTTTCTGAACAAGAGAAACTAGTATTGTTTCCAGGATCAAAGACTTATTTCTTGCTCACCATACATAAGTGCCTTATAAGGTGCAGGTAAAAAGCTTGATCTGCTTAAAGTTACTGATATAGTCAGAGTTTGGAGCTACTGCAAGTTTCTAGGTGCTCAGTTCAGCCTTAACTGGAGCAGAAAACATGCCCTGACCTCCTTATCTTGTTTTTTCTTAACTCTCTTGTGTACCAGTATTTTTGGAGTCGATTTGAATAACAATAGTAATCTGCTTTACCTCACTTTACCTATACATGGAAAAAGTATAATCCTGGAGGAAAGTATAATCAATTGAAAAGAATATGGCATTTACAGTAGAGAAAGCTGAATATGGAACCTGGCTGTAGTATTGGTTGTCTTCCCTAACTTTACATTCAGTATTCCTATTTGCCAGTCGAGGGAACAATACTTACCTCAAAAAAGTTATTGAAAGGAATAAATTGAGTTCATTTTTAAATGTTGACTAAGAAAGACTCTGACACAGATAATTTGCTGAATAAAAACAAATCTATTTTCCCCCACTCTGCTGCTAAATATACCCAGATGCATTTGATTGAAGATATATTAAGGAATGGAGAATAGAAGGAAAAAAAAAGAAAAAAAAAAACAGAAGTAAACGGGAGAAAACAAACCCACTAAGATTTGGAGATCTTGCATGATACCACTACATCAGTGGCACTAAACCCAATAAGATTTGGTTCTAAGCTTTGCTCAATTTAGTCTCTTTCAAGTAGTCTTTCTTTAGCTATTTTAGTCCCTTAGTCACATTAGTCCCTTTAGTTTTAGTGGAAAAAAACATCAGTTACTATCCAAATTATACATTCTAATGGGAGGAACTTTGGCATGTCCAGCAAGCTTCCATTTTCTCAGATGTAATGTGTGCATTATCATGGGAAATAAGCCAAGGCAGTTGCTGGCTTTTTGTGTTCCCTTCCATTCTCCCTTTTGCTATCATCCTAGAAAATCACAGTGATCCATTGTGAAACTGAAACTAAGTCTCACTTTTATGGACTATTTATCCTTAATGACCTTCTCTTTTATTCAGCCACAGCTGTATGTTCCAAAAGTCTAGGTGTTACCATAACATAGACCATGCTATCTAGCTATCTTACACACCAAAATCCTACTCCATAACCATGAGCCCCTGTCCTTGTAATTCTTCTAAAGCCATCCGCAATGCCTTGAAGTCCCTGTCCTTTCAGATTCTCTCAGTCTATGTCTTATTTTGGCCTTTTAAAATTTCCTGCTAAGTCTTATTATTTTCATCTATATTCTTAATTCATTTGTACCTCTATTTGGGTACAGAGTGCAAGCACATTCAGAAAATCTCACTTTTAGATTAATAGGTCTTTTCACTTCCCCTGTTCTACTCTTGGGGTGTTGAGAAATGCTAAATGAATAATATATCTGGGAAGATAGGCTTGTCTAAAGTGCATGGTCTAAAATATCAAAATGAGAGCTCCATGTTGCTATATGTTCTCATACCCCTACCCTGAAAATCTTTACACTATAGTTACTTTGATCTCAGCTCTGTGTCCCTGCACAAATTAAAAACTCGCTTAAGATATTAATCTTTCCTCAATGGAGATGCAAATGTACTCTAGAAGTGGATGTTCTGTGTCTGAATCTCAACTATGCCACTGACTAGTTTTGTGACCTTAGATCAAATATTTATGTCTGTACCTCTGATTTCCTATGTGATAATTAGAAAAGTACATAATAGTTTTGTGAGAATTAAGTGACTTAATAATTGTGAAACATTTAGAATAGCTCTGGTCATATAGTAATTACCAAACAGCTATCCACTATTATTGGCATTTTTTTGAACAGAAATGTCCATTTCATTTCCTTCTTAACATAACCAAAAATGATGCTTTAAGAAAAGTACTCTTCCAAATATCCTCAATGGCATTACCTCCAGAGGTTTTGCTCCCTGTCTAGCAATTTTCTTGTTTGAGCATTCAGTGTGTTTGAACAGTTGTCCCATCACATAACTTCACTGCCTTTATTTTTGTCTGACTGTCTTATTTCAGTTAACCAGTCTTTAAGTTCTGAGATTCTTTTATCAGCTTGGTTTATTCTGCTGTTAATACTTGTGATTGCATTGTGAAATTCTTGTTTTGCGTTATTCAGCTCTGTCAGACCTATTAGGTTCCTTTTTATACTGGCTATTTTGTCCTTCACCCCCTGTATTGCCTTATTGTGATTCTTATTTTCCTTAGATTGGGTTTTGCCTTCCTGTTGAAACTTGATGATCTTTGTTCCTAGCCAAATTCCAAATTCTATTCCTGTCATTGCAGCCAGCTTGGCCTGGTTAAGTTGTGCACATATACCCTAGAACTTGAAGTATAATAATAATAATAAAAGAGGAAGAAGAAGAAGAAGAAGAAGAAGAAGAGGAAGAGGAAGAGGAAGAAGAAGAAAGAAGAAGAAGAGGAAGAAGAAGAAGAGGAAGAAGAAGAAGAGGAGGAGGAGGAGGAGGAAGAAGAGGAGGAGGAGGAGGAGGAGGAAAGAAGAAAGAAGAAAGAGGAAGAAGAAGAGGAAAGAAGAAGAAGAAAGAAGAAGAAGAGGAAGAAGAAGAGGAAGAAAGAAGAAAGAAGAACTCTTATTGGAGAACTGGTGCAGTTGTTTGGAGGACATATACCACTCTAGACATTTGAGTTATTGGAGTTCTTGCATGGGTTCTTTCTCATCTCTGTGTATGGGTGTTCCTTTAACTGCAATATAGATTGAGTCAATAGATACAGTATAGATGCAGTATAGATACAGTCAATAGACTTATTTTCTGGATGTTTTCACCAGGCCGAGGCTTTGTGCAAGGTTTTTATTTGAAGCTGATTTTTTGTCTCTGGTTTTGGAAGAAAGTATGCTAGCAAAGTATTTTTTGTGTTGAAGCTTTGGGGTGTGATCCAGTAGGTGGCACTTAGGCATACTGGTCAGCTGGTAGACTCTTGTCCAGCTATGTGGCTCCCCTGTTTCCTCTCAGTTGTAACTGTTTTCTTTCTCAATGCTCTCTGAAAGTGTGGGTTCCTCTCCCATTGAGTGCTGGCTGTAGAAGGTGGCTTGGCACTCCTGGGCTGCCCACTGTATCTCTCCGGTGATCTCAGTCCTTATGTTTCTTCCCCAACCTGGAAACACCAGAGGAAGGAACCTTAGTAGTAGTTATGGCTAAGGGACTTTTGCTTGTCTCCTGGGGGCTCCACACCAGAGATACGGGTCAGTAATCACTCAGTGCAGTCAGCCCAGGATGGAGGGGCTATGCTGTGGGTCCAAGCCAGAGGTTCCCTGTCTGGTGATGAGCAGTTGGAGGTGTGTGGGACCCATGGGAGACTAACTACCTCCTCTCTTTGGGTCAACTGCAGCTTATTGGAGGTGTAGGTAAAGCACTTGGGGTCTTTGCTACTTCATTACTCCAAGGGAAGCAAGAGCAGTTCCACTGCAGAGGCAGTGGCAGAGAGGCTTTCAGTTGCCCTTGGAGGCTCTGTCCAGGGAGTTGCCAAGTTTCTACTCACTCAGCTCTGGCAAGAGGTGGCTGGAAGCCCAGTCCCAGAGGAACTGTCTGGTGAGGAAATGTGGGCACCAATGTACATCTGGCCACTTTTCTGTAGGGCTGCTGAGGTATGCTGGGGGCCCACTTCAGTCTCTAGTCACCTCAGATTTTCCTGTACCTGGAGGTATCACCATTGAAGGCACTTCGCTGGGCTGGGGAGGTTACTTTGTCTCTGTGTCATGCCTGCGTGGGCCGTCATCCTGCCTGGCTTTTCTCCATTCTCCATGGGTTGAGTTGTTTCCTCTATTAGTCCCAATGCAAGTACTTAGATGTTTCAGTTGAAGGTGCTGAATTTACCTGCCCCTTTTGCCCCTCTCCGAGAGAGCCACGCACACTAGCTGCTTCTAGTCGACCATCTTGGCCACCTCCCTAAAAATTAAAAAAAAAAAAAATGCTTAAGTGTTTTTAGTAAACATAAGTATGATTTCTTATATGAGTTTTTAAAAATTTTTAAAAAGAAAAAGAAAACATCATGTTTCTTAAAAACCTAAAGTTTATACTTTCACTATACAATTTTACACTCTTAAATATCAACCTCAAACTCGTTTCCACAATGCCATCTTTCTCATCTTAAAATACTTTGAAAGTATAAACATACACACACATGCAGGAGAGGAGAGAGGCAGAGACTGAGACAGACAGACAGACAGAGAGAGAGAGAGGGGGGAAAGAGATTTTAAAAGTGAACTAGAAAACAGTAATTCACATTTAGTTTGGGGAATAGAAAGAAAACTCCCAAACAGATTACTTTGAGATAACTCCAAGACCTTTTGGTCCTTATGATTATCCTCAATTTAAAGAAAAACATATGTACACACACTGCCAGATGTGGTGGCTTGCACCTGTAATCCCAGCACTTTAGGAGGCCAAGGCGGGTGGACTGTCTGAGCTCAGGAGTTTGAGACCAGCCTGGGCAATGTGGTGAAACCCCATCTCTACCAAAAATGCAACAACAACAACAAAAAATTGGCCAGGCTTGGTGGCACACGCCTGTGGTCCTGGCTACTGAGGAGGCCGAGGTGGGAGGATTGCTTGAGCCTGGGAGGCAGAGGTTTCAGTGAGCCAAGATCATATTACTGCACTCCAAGCTGGGTGACAGAGTAAGACCATGTCTCAAAAAGAAAAAGAAAAACATACACAAAAAACACCTATAGATGAATCCCACTTCATCTCCCTACTCTTCCCCTGTCTATTCCACTCTCAAAATTCAACTCACTGCAGCTGAACTGCAGGAGAAGCAGCAATGCGAATATGTTTTATGATGATACCTTTGCAATATAAAGTTTTCAAATTCTAGACAGTTGCTCTTGGCCTGAAGAAATAACTACTACATTAAACCCTTGGAATCTAGTAATTTCAAAGAATAGAAAATTAGAAATTTCATCAATTGTGTTATAATAAAGTTGGATATTTTCAATATTTAATGCTTTTCTTCAAAATATGAAGACAACATTTGTTATATAATATCAGCTAGTCACGTTATCCTCTTTCACAGTCCTTTATTTTTCTTCCAACATCAAAGCAAAATGTGAATGAAAATACATCACATATATACCTAGTCATAATAAGGAGCTAAAGTCATTGACACAAATTTACGAAGGGACATGAATGGATACATCTGCCTGTGTAAACTAGCTCACAAATGAATACACACATATGCACAGCATTGAGAAACCCTAAACAAAGCACAAAATTGTGAATACAAAGATTGGTTTGCAAGCAGAACATAGAGAGCCAAGACACACTTAGTATTTACTAAGTATTTTATACTGGGCATTTTTTTCTGAAACTTTTATATTTTTCATTTATATGCTGTGAATATAATGCCTGAACTGTCTATATCATAAGGCTGCTGTGAGGCTCAAATGAGTTAATACGTGTGAAAATGCTTTTAAAACTTGAAAATAAATTGGAAAGGTTCTTAACTAATTATAGTTAAAAGAGCCAATACTTTTATAACTGAGCTCTATCTAATCATTAAAGAATAATGAGTAGCTCTTATTTTGCTCATTTACTTTTATATTGTAGAAAACACTGAATAGCTTTTTCTAATTCATTCTATGATTTGAATCTAACTTTAACACTGAAAAAAAACAAAGCCAGGCTTCCCCCCTCAAATATACGCAACTTCACTTAGGAATAGGTTACATAATTTCTCGGTCAAATATTTGTAAATTAAATCTAGTGATGAATTAAAAAGTATCACAGAAATAGTAGGCAGTATTTATCAAGCGCTTCATGTTTAGAACAATATTTATGTTCATGTTTAGAGCAATATTTATCAAGTACTTTATGTTTAGAACATTTTATGTTTAGAACAATTCTATACAGTAGTTTCTAATATTATCCCAGTTAGACTGATGAGAAAAGCTAGGTCTAGAGAGGTAAGTAACCTTTCTATCAACACACATGTAGTAAGTGGTAAAGCTACAATTTAAACCCCTCCAGTATGACTCCTGAACTCATAGTCATAGCACCATATTATGCTGTTTCACTGAATTTTAGTCAATAATAAAGTTTGAATAAACCTGTCACTATAATTCATGGCAATAGTAAACTAAAGATAACAACTACAGGTTGTTTCCATAGACCTAGTAGAGATGATGTTATCATCAATGACAAACCATTAACTTTATATGAAATGGCCCACAAAACTTTGTTTTATTTTCAAAATATGCATATTTACTAAAAATGGTACATTTAAATTCAGTTAAATTTTCACTAATATTTATATTGACACTACAGTGTGCCAGGAATAGTGTGTTTGGGACACATAAAGAATGACAATATGGAGTAAAAAAGAAATTCTGTCCACTCTCAAAGCAAGAGATCCCTAAAGGATGAAAAAGACAAGTGAAGAAAGTCTGAGATTTTTTTTTTAGGTCGAATGAATGGCAAGTGTACATAGTCCTAAAATAGCCAGATATACATCAAGAACTAAAAATAATTCAGTGTTAATCGAGAGAATTATAAAGTGGAGAGTGGCAGAGATGTAGCTTAGGAAAAGGCAGGTGCCAGTTAGCAGAGAGCCTTCTGTCATTCTGTCACCGTGAGGTGCTTTGGCTTCATGCTGTGGAAGCTATTTGAAGCCACTTCCTCTTTCAGATGGAATATATCTGAAGGCTATAGGGTGAAATTAAACATAACAAAATTGAAATAATACAGAAAGTTGGCAAGGACCTTATAAGGACAATTGGAGAGAAAGAAAGAAGGAGAAAGGGAAATGCATTTAGAAATTGTTGAAGAGCTAAAATCATCAGAGATTGGTGACTAATTAGAGAGGGATGCAAGGTGACCTCTAATATAAGGTAACTGAGTGACATGTGAAGCCATTTCTGATATTCATAAATTAGGAAGAAGAGTCAGTGAGGGGTAGAGGAGGCTGACTGATGAGTTAATCATGTTCAATTTTAAGTATCTAAGAGACCTCTGGATAGCTATATCCAAATGCAGATAGGCACAGATGACTAGCTCTCAATGGAGAGGTCACTACAATGAATTTGGGACTTGTAGACCCACAAGTGATACTGAAATCATGCCAAGATGAACAAAAAAGATTTTGCATGCATAATATTTGGCATATAGTACATTCTACAAAAGTATTTATTTTAAAATTAAATAAAGCAAGTTGTAATGAATTAAGAAAAATGTGTAAAAGTAGCCCCATTTAGGGGCAACAGGAAGCACCCATGGAGAAGGGATACATGTATATACACACACGCACATACACATGTTGATATCAATATATATAATCAATTTATATACATATTGTCTGTGGTCATATACATATGAAGTAAAATTATTAAAATCTCCAGGAAAGTAAGCATCAAATTATCTATTAATTCTAGCTAGAGAAAGTGGTAAATTGGATAGCTCTATACAGAAGACTTGAAAAATGTCTCTTTTTATTTCTGTTTTATAAAAAAATTCTGAAGGAGCAGAAAAAAATGTTAAAATTTGACAAACCTGCTTAGTGAGTCCATATCTATTTTAAAATGTGTTTCTATAAGCTTGAAATATTTTCTGATAATTTTATTAAAGAGTACCTACCAAATGTGGAACAGACTTAGTGTAAACTACAATTTGTAAAATTTGGCTGGAAGGTGAAAAACAAACAAATGAGGATTCCAGAAGAGGAGTGATTTTTCCTTTTAAAAGATAGGAAAGATTTCAGCATTTTATAGATTGAAGCAATGGGCAGATAAAGAAGGATGATTTTTGAAATATAGGCAATAGAAGATTGCACAACAATACTGTTGTGAAATAAAAAATGAGAACATTTGTATGATCTTTGTCCTTTAAATTCAATTACAATAGAGTTAGAACTTTTATATTTTAATATATGACTTCTACTAAAAGCATAAACTCATTTTGTCTCATTCTGCATTATAATAAAGAACTAAAGGTAAAATGTTGTACCTCTTAGGTGACATCATTGAAAAACTTATAGTAAGACAAAGTCACATAATTTTTTTTCTCAGAGGAAATCAATAACCATGAGACTCCTTCACAAACTGCAGTGCATTTATATATTTCAAAGCATCATCACACAGTTGCAGTATTCTCAGTAATACATTACCAACACCAAAACAAGCCAGAAAGAGCATACCTGCTGAAAGAAAAAGGAAGGAAAATGTGTTACCCAACATGTATGATTTTGTATTTCTGAATATTGAAGACTGTTGAAAAGATGATATAATTGAATTTATTGAAATGTACAAGATGGCAATAGAGAATTTACAATTTATGATACAGAATTTCTGACCTGCCCTATATAGTAACAACTATTGTGATTCTGTGAGTTAGAAATTCTTTTAAAATTTTGGGCAATTTATTTGGAAGTACCTTTTTAATTTTGTGAGCTCAAGAGGGATGTTTCTCCTTTTTGGCCCTTAGAGAATAGAGAATATTCTTCTGAGATATATTTTTAGCCATAAGGTCATTATTTGGTGTGCTGGAACGATGATGGAGTTGAGGAAAAGATGACAATGATAGGAGATGGCATTTGTGAAAAAATATGATCAGTGCTAAAAGAAGGCATTACAACCACCTCTTGAGTGACAGAAAGTCTCTTAATGAAATGCTGAATTTATCAGATACATAAATCAAATCATCAACTGTTACAGCAAATCTGCCAAATTAGGAAGAATTCAGCTACCATCATTACTAATCCCATTACTACAAATTCCTTGTTTCTTACTCTTTTCATTCCAAATGTTCTCTTCCTGATCCTTTTGCTCATTTTTTTTCTCAATCCTGTCACTGACACTTCTGCATCTTGGTGTCAGTTCATTGTCTGAGGTAAGTCAGTCACCTTGCAGTCCCTCACCTCCTGCCCCCAAGAGCTGTTCCTCATTGGTGTTCTCCAGTGACCTCCACTCCCTGAGGTCTCATATCAGGGCAAGTCTTCCTAGTCAGATGATCAAAGTCTCAAAGGTGTTGGCTGCTGGTACAACAGGATTGGGATTCATATTCTGAGGTTAGGCATGCCTCTCACCTTTTAAGTAACTTAGTTGAAGCTCTCCTTGAGAAAATTATGAACTAGACAAAAATAACTCATGGTACCTCCCAATTTGCAGAGGTAGGCTCCTTTAACCCTCCTACCATCTTTTCTGGCCCTCAGCCTCTTTTTAATTCCATCTTTCAGGCATCAGGTTCTGATTCAGCTTCAGTCTTTTCTTATCATGGAAAAAAAATCATCTTCTTGTTCTTAAACACAATAATTATCAGCCTAAGTGAGCTACCTCCCCCAGAAATGCCTGTCACTGTTTCAGTGAATTTTAAACACCATTGGGGGAGAAAATTTCTCTTTGGCAGATGTTAAGATATTTCTGAAATAATACAGTTGTATATGTTAACTTGTAAGAAGATCTTTATCTCTAAATTGTAAACTCTAAGATAGGTAATAATCACTGTTAGTAAAAATTGTAATAAAAATACATACAGAATATTTATAATGTACTAGATTTTCTTATTTAATCCTCAGAACAGTACTATTTGTGATTATCCTCGTTTTACTGATCAGAAAGTTGAAACGCAAAGAGGTTTGTAAACTTGCCTGAGGTTGCCTGACAAAGAAAGAACTACAGAGACCTCAGTCTTATGAAGCTACCATTATAAAGAATATTTCTTAAAAAATTCTGTGTCTACTGAATTGAAAAAAGAAAATCAGTTCTGTACTGAACTCATTGTAATCCTCATGGGGTCAGAAATGTCTAAGCATTCTCCAGCCAAATTATTTCTCCTGTTTTTCAGTATCCAACAAGTATTACACACATTGAAACTACTTAGAAGAAGACCAATAGACCTACCAAATGAAAACATTTTAATGAGGAGATTTAAAAGGGAAGGAGATTTATACACACACAGATATAAACCTTCCTTAATGATGAAGTATATAAAACCTACCCTCAGCTTCTTTTTAATTCCATTTTTTAGGCATCAGGTTTCTGGTTATGTGATACAGAATACAATAAAGACAATCTTAGGTAGAATTAAGATTTTCCAGATTCAGGCCACCAAGAAGAATTATACTGGCTGAGGATACTACCAGTAGGGAATAAAGATTCCATAAATAACAAAACTCACCTTTTCTATTTTTGAGAAGAGTGTGGGGAGAGAGAGAGAAAGATGCTGTATCTTTTTTATTTACCCCTGCTTGACTTTCAACAGACCCTGGTTCCTTGCCTACCTTCTCACCATGTGCAAGAAGTTGTGCAAAATGATTCCAGTGCATTTTTGTTACTGGGTAAATTGAAGGTTAACTTCTTGGGCAATTTGTTACAGAAATCAGACAAGCTTCAAATCTATTCTTGCACCATTTCTCTCTATTCTAAATGAAATTATAAATTCATATATTCGGGAACCTCAGAAATTCCAATTTCCAGAATATCTAGAAGAGATGTTAAATCTAATTTTTAAAAAACCACACTGGCCAGGCACGTTGGCTCACGCCTGTAATCCCAGCACTTTGGGAGGCCAAGGCAGGCAGATCACGAGGTCAAGAGCTCAAGAGCATCCTGGCCAACATGGTGTAACCCTGTCTTTACAAAAAATACAAGAATTAGTTAGGCGTGGTGGTGCGCACCTGTAGTCTCTGCTACCTGGGAGGCTGAGGCAGGAGAATTGCTTGAATCCGGGAGGCAGAGGTTGCAGTGAGCTGAGATCGCGCCACTGCACTCCAGCCTGGCGACAGAGCAAGACTCCATCTCAAAAAAACAAAACAAAACAACAACAACAAAAACACAATAATTAGAAATCAACAATGACAGAGAGATCAACACATCTGGAATTTAGTTATGAGAAAAGCAAAAATGTAGTGGGTGCAACGGAGAAAAAGTTGTAAAAAGCCCATGTAAAAATAAAATGACAAAATAAGTTATAATTAAATTGAGGTAATATAGTTACAGACTTTGGAAGAATTCAGAATACATAATTATACTGATGATAGTAAATACACAACTACATTTTTATGTATTTTCTTTATTATCTTGAAAATAACTTAATGCTACTGTGCATTAAATACTTCTTCATTACAGTTGAATTCAAAAAAATCAGCTCTAATGCCAGTGAGAAACAGCACATGGGGATATATAAAAAGTAGATTAAAGAGGAAAACACTTTTATATTCCTAATTTATCACACTATTTTATTACTGATTTATTCTACTCTTTATGCTTTAATATCGAGTACCCTTCCTTGATTTAAATATACTTTGAAAGGGCAAGAGTAGAAAGAGTAGTGAACAAGAAGGCAATAAAACAAATTCAGAGAAACAATCCTTTCTATTTTCTGAAAATATAATGGAGACTTAGCCCTGACTTACAGTTTTGTTTTTATATATAACAATTTGATAACCTCTGTTGCTTGCCACAAAAAAAATCTCTGGTAACAATTTAAAATGAATAAAATAAAACAATACCAGTATTTTAACTAATTAAATGGGAAAATAATCACCTGTAACTTTGAGGAAATGCGTTAACATTTCTGCATGTCTTTTCATTCAAAATCAAGTTAAGTCCTTTGAAAGTGGGCCTAGAGATACAAGTGAAAAAAAATTGTTTTGAGATGTAAGTAACATAAAGAGCGAGAAACAGAACAGATGTTTTCAATTTTCTATCCAGTACAGGGTCACTTGATGTTACTATAGCATTAGTAAAGCTTTTTAACTCTATATTGAGCAATTGTTTAGTCCTCCTTTTCAGGGTCAGTAGATAGCTATCAAAATTTGTATTTTCATTTTCATTTGACTAGAAATTTCATGGATGAAATATCAGAAATATTTCTAAAAGTCAAATTGCATTTAGTGTCACATAGCAATGTCATAGTTTGTCAGATAGTCCAATTTTACTGTTAAAAATAATACGTGATCAATATTCTACAAAGGTAAAAGAACGGAAGAAATCAAGATATACAAAAAAGTTGTATCAACATCACTTGAGAAAAACTGTCAACTGCGTGAAAGAATCAGTATATTGTTATGAATAAGAATTCCATTTACAAATGATTTCAATTCATACACTGAATTCCACAGACATTTCCTGCTATTATTTTACTTTTACTCTCAAAATACAGAGAATCTCGGAACCTGCCAAGTTATAGAATTAAAAAGCCTTAATTATCTACTGGGTGTAAGAAATTTATGTAATGGTAACAACACATAATGATGATGAATTCTGCTTCTCTTATTGACTCACTCTCTCCTACCCCTCCTTCTCCCCACGCAAGTTAAGTAATATTAGACAAACCTGACTATTGTTTCTTCACAGCAGTTAGTCCTTACTCAGATGATTAATTTCTGTGAATCTAGAACTGTTTTCAATACTTTGGGAAATACTATACACAAAAACAGGAATGGAGAAGGATAAGCCCATTAGGGAAACTGCTAGAGCAAATTTTTTTTAATGAATAAATGTTGCAGTATTATTGACAGTAACCAAGATGCAGAAACAGCTTAAATATCCATCAACAGATAACTGGACAAAGGAACTGTGGTATATACATAAAATGGAATATTATTCAGCCTTAAGAAAGGAGATGTGCCGTTTTACATAGCATGGATGATCCTTGATGACATTATGCTAGCAGTGTCATACATTCTAACAAGATATATGTGTATATATTTGCACACATATAATCTTTTAATGTTTTCTTTAAAAACTCAGTTCCTCAAAATCAGCTCTTCTTTATTTGAAATAGTAGCTGACAGTATGGGTAGCACAATAAAGTATGAAAAGTAGATAGGCTCAAAAAATACTTGAAAATAGCTTAAACTTATTAGTGATGCCTAAAAGTAAATATTGCAGGCATAAAGAGCATATTTTCTTTTATGCTCAATAGAAAACTCTGTTGAATCACAATTTCTTTTGTTGAATAGCAAAAATCTTTCTAGATTTTAAAAAAAGTCAAAATTGCCTCCGTGTACTCTAGGAAAAATTATGGTGTTTAATAATGCACAAAAACAGTGATTATAAGAAACAACAAAAATTGAGTTACTATTGTAGACAGAATATTGTCATTGAATGTGACATGACATAAAGTAGGGGGGACCTGGATTCCGATATTTGGTTTGTCGCTTCCTAGATATGTGTCTATGAAAAATGTATTTTATTTCCCTGGGCTTCAGACTCCTCATCTCACACTTTAAGGATTAGACTCTAAACTCCTATCCGGATAAATTGTAGCAGATGCTACTGGTGCTGTGTTCATATATATCCCCTTACATTATTTTACCTTTTTGTGTGTGGGTGTGTGCACATGTGCTCCAGGTGAATGCTCACTCTAAGCAGCCAGTACCGGACTGTCTTTGTCAGTGAGCTGTCCTTAGCTTTAGGAAACTAAGGCCTACATTGCCTGCAGACACTGAGAGCCTGAAAAACATGGGCATGCCCAGCTTTGCTCTCTTCACCAATGACTTGGCCTGGACTGGGACAATTCTGAAATGAGATTTCCCTTTCTCCAGAGCTTTCCTGTGGGATGAAGCCAAAGCCACCCTCTGAGATCTTGAAGCAGTCCTTTGGATGTACTTCTGTTTTCCTGACTTCCTCACTCTACTGCTGTTAGTTCTCCTCAGAGTACTTCCTAATAAATCACTTTCACAGGAATTCTCATCTCAGAGTCATCTGTTTCTGAGGATTCCAAGCAATAATATTTTGATTTATTTTGTTTTGGTTTGACATTGGTTTGTGTGAACTCTAATGTCTAGCATTAGATAAGGCACATAACTTCAGAAAAAATTGTAAAAAACTACTCTACTATAATCTGTATGAGTAAAACAAGTCAATGTAAATATCATTTTAAATAAGACCCATAAGAGACTATAGTTACATTACATAGCAAAGTAACAATAATATCCTGATGTAGATTCTTGGCATCTGTGAACTACTAACATAGATTCATGTAAATTAGATAATTTCCAAATAAAGTTAGGAAACTTAACAAAAATGTAATCTATTTTGAGAGTGAAACAGAAAAAGCAAATAATAAAAATATATAAATAATCAAACTAAAATAAATAAAAAACCAAGTGAATTGGTCAGTCTTATGAATGTATTTTAAAATGTAGAATTAATATAGTATACTAAGAGTAAGGTTTATTCTATATACAAAGGGATATTATTAATAAGTGGCTAATCAAATATATTTATATAATGTCAATGTCAAGTAAACACAAAGATTAACTCAATTTTGTGTTTTCATTTAACTTTAAATTAAAACAATGTTTTAAAAATACTATTTTTATAGTACTGGTAATATATATTATATACATATCTAATTTTTAAATTATTTATAAGGATTTAAAAATGCTTGCCTGTGGAAGTACATATTATTTTACAATACAAGAAATTACTTTGATAAATACTAATTGTGGGTTTAATCAGATCAGCTGAATGATATAAATTTACCTTAAGACTAAAATATTTCTGAGGGTGAGGACTCCTTTGATATATGCCAATGTATCAAAATACTTTTTTCTTCTGGCAAGTGAAATAAGAAGAAAAATCAGCACAACCACTATATCTGGCATTTATTTTCTCTCTTTTACCAGCTGGTTTCCTTGAATTCAACCTAAGAGTGCGGTTTTCATTTATGTGAAAAAAGTGTAAGGTTAACAGTACATTCACTCCTATTTTGCAAGGTATTTTTCTTTTGCTGATCAATAATTTCAAATACTGCTCTAAAGTTTTACTGTTTGACATACATCATTTTGACAGTTCCTTAAAGAACTTAAATGCTACCTACAAATGTAATATCAACAAGATCTATACTGGAGAGTAGTCTACACTGCTAAACCAACTTCATTCTTGCTGTAGTGGCAAACTGAAAAAGAAAATTCTCTTCCCCACCTTCTTCATTTTAATCCATGTAACTCATTTTATTAATGTGCATCATCCAGCAAAGTAAAATAAAAATTTGTTTTTTATCTTGTTAAACGTAGTGTTAGATTTTAAATACATTTATCTAAAGTGTATTTAATTACTGGCTTCACAAAATCTGAAGTTGAGAATTGCTACACATGGGTAGAGTTTTTTTGATAATTAAGAAAGGCTTATTTTTATACTGTTATATCTTTACTGGCAGTAGACCTTTAATTTTACATTTCTCATCCTGCTTTTATTTTCTAGCCCCTCTCCTTGCATTATTCCTTTTTAAAACTTTGACTAGATTAGGATTACATATACAAAGAATATGTAAAGTCACATAAAGCTGTAAACCATCCAAAGAAGGATTTTGCTTATTTGCCTGCTTTTCAGAAATTAGCATTACTACTCCAGCTTTCCTTTGATTTATATTTATTAGGTATATATTATCAATTATTTTATTTTCCATATTTCTGTGGAACATTATACATACAGCACATTGTTGGATTTTGTTCTCACGTCTTCAATTTAGTATCTTTGTCTTGTATTTGATTAGCTTAATCCATCTTCATTTATTTTAATTTCTAATTTTTTCCCATATCCTGGACTTCCTAATTCAATTCTAGAAAATTTTCTTGTGGTGTTTAACAGTTATGTAGGCCGATTTTATTATTGATTTCTTAACTTAAAAAATACATATATAATCACTTCTATTTCTTAAATGCGTAAATGACTTTATCTTCCATAATATGAAAGGAACACATTAGTATACCACATTTATTTCGCCTTGTGTTCTCTTCACCTCCCATTGCATTACTAATGCCTGGAATATTACTTCTAGTACTATGAATTTTTCTTTTCTTTGTTTATTCATTTACTGTAGTATATCACATTTATATAAAATGATTAGATTGCTGTATTAATACTGTGATTACAGAGGGCATTTATTTTGTTCAGTTAGTTGTATATCTTTTGGACTAAACTTCTGAGTACTACTATTCTCAGGCACCTACTTCGTTTGGCCTGTGAGCTCATATTATCTGTGCAATATTGGCTTTTTGGTGTTGGAGAAAGACCAAAGGCCAGACCATAGTCACTGTCAGTCTAGAGTAGTCCAAGGTGTATATATGTGGGAGTTAGGGCATAGGACATGGGCTTTCTAACAGAAAGTCCCACACACCACCAACCAGAGTTATTACTTGATTTTACAATGACCAAGCAAGAAACGACTCTACTCAGAATTTCACTCCTAAATCCTTTGGGAAGAGAATGTAAGGAAAGGACAGTTTTACAAAGCTGTAATCTGTAAAGCTTGGAAACTGGATTTCAGAAGTAAAGGACTGAATGTCTCTGGCATGTCAGCCCCCACATACTTTCACCTCACCCAGAAAAACCCCTGCCAATATAAATATTCACAACTGTAGTTTGAGGAAAAGAAGATAGGCATTGATTGTCCAAAAACAAGGAGATGGGAGGGTGGGATGGCAAGAGGTAAAGGAGAATTTAAACTGTCCTTCCGATGCTGTCTCTGGCTTCTCTTTGCCCTAAGCTGTGGCCACCCATTCACTCTTCACACAGAAACATTTAAAATAGACTTATTTCTGTTATTCTTCTTGTTAGATCTTGGATTCTGTCTTTCTCTCCTTATTTTGTTCTCAGCATTACTTTTACAAATATTAACCAGCAATCCATGCAAGTTGGACATCTTGTTGAACACCTGAATTCTTGTGTGTGTGTGTGTGTGTGCGTGTGTGTGTGTGTGTGGGGGGTGAATTTTTATCTCTATTCAATATGTGTTATTTATATAAATAATTTCTATTTAGCAGTCTATAATTTTTCCTGAAACTCATTTCCCGTGTTAAATTATTCACATATTTTCATTTTATGTTATTTTATTGTTTTACATACACTGACTTTATAGCTAGATAATATTGTTGTAGAGTTGAAAATCTATGTTTAACTTACAATAAAAAAAGTTATCCATGTAAAATGAAAATAGATGTTCTGAAATAGGGCCTTATAAATATTCCTTTGAAAGGACACTTCATGAAGTGTGAAAATGCCAAGCATCAGCTAATAAATCTTTGTGACAATTTCTGTTTAAATGCAATTTTTAAATAATGCACCAATTTAAAACGTAGAATAAATAACATAGTGAGACCAGAAATCTTATCCAAAATTGTATTCTGTTATGAATACAATTGAATACTGCTAGATATTACTTACTTTATAGCTTAAGAAATCTCCATGCATTATTTTAATGGCTCAAACCACCCTATCACATTTTTTTAAACTAAAACAATACAGCAGTCAAAGGAAATAGTTGATCTATGTTTGATACTATGCACATACTTATTTACATGAAAGCATCAACATGAGCGCATGGCCCTGTGTTGAAAATGCCGAGGCAACAAATACTGTAAGACAACTAATACTTGTTTAAATTTCAGTTCTTTTTGTTGATTCTTTTTACTCCCCAAAACAACTTGTTTGTTCCGGGAAACATTGACTATATAGTCTATTAGCTGCATCTCTCCCTATCCTCTCTCTACTCTGCCT
Source organism: Homo sapiens (assembly GCF_000001405.40). Classification (NCBI taxonomy): domain Eukaryota; kingdom Metazoa; phylum Chordata; class Mammalia; order Primates; family Hominidae; genus Homo; species Homo sapiens. Next base: position 90,894,589 of record NC_000004.12, read on the forward strand.
CCCCTTTTTTGTCTTCTTCTCAACTTGCTTCTCCTGTTCATTTTTGCCTTATTCTTTCACCATTTCTTTCCTCCTCCTTCCTCACATTTTCTCCTCTTTTCCCTTCTCTTCTTCCTCCATTATCAAGTAGTAATGGTACCATTTCTCATACTTACAAGTGCCAATGATGGTTCTACTCATCATTCACCAGACACTTTCCATGTGCTGGACACTGTGCTTAGCTTTTTACTATATGAGTGATTACAGTTGGCAGTGCTCGGAATTCAATGGGAAGTTCAATTTAATTGGCATGTGGTTTGATTAAAATTATGCTCTGACAGTTTTAAAATTAGATTAAAATAGACTAATTAATTTAGATTAATCAAGATAAATTTTAAAACTCTAAAATTATGTGTATACACTTTTAATAAAATATATAGCTTCTTAATGTATACTTTGTCCCTAGGTTGATTTAAACATGGAGCAAAATATAATGCTTCAGGTGTAAATATTTAAGACAGTTCAAAATGAAATAACACTAAAATGAAATTAAATTGCTCATAAATTTATTATATAAGATTGTTATTCTTTAAAATATCCTGGCTGTATTCTTTCTTTTGCATTAGGACACCAGCCAAAAACCATATGGCACATAACATCAGTAAATGTTATCATATAACAATAATATTTAAGGGTGCCTGAAAATGGTCCTCTTGGAGAAAATTAGTTAATAATATAAGCAGATGCAAAATTGCCTCTAGGTAGGCATATATTTTTATCAGCAAAATATTTGATGATTGGCTTCCAAGGATAAATTCACTATAATTAACTTCTGTATTAAAATTGTTTACAAGAGATTGGTAACATTAGACAACTCAAACTGGGTTGTTCTCTGTAAGAATAAATGGAAGTCACAAGATTTGCCTTAAGCACCTCTTTCAAAAAGAATAAAAATACAGAAAACCATTTGTACTGTAATTGCAGGAATCAAACTAGTTTTACTTTATAGATTCACAATGAAGTAAAATGTATAAAATCATTTACATTTTAAATACCAAGGATCAAGGTCCCTAGCCCAGTTGAAGAAGGTAGAGTAAACATAGTTGAGGCTTTGGGTGAAGTATAATAAAAAATAAACCTATGTTAGAGAGCTTATCAGAATCTTTGAACAGAAAGTTGTATATATTATATATATATTTCTCCCCTGGGGCTTACAGTGTCCTGGAGAGTAGTATATCATACAAATAGCCAGTGACCAGACCATGAAGAACCAAATGAATAATGCTAAAGTATTTCAAACATATGTTGAATTTATAAGGGACCAATGAAACATGATCTGATTTTATTTTAGAAAGGTGAGTTTAGCTGCAGTATGGAGCATATATTAAGTGATACAAAACTGGAAGAGAGAACACAGTTAAATGGTTACTGCAGTGATTCCGGAGGAAAAAATATGAAGGGCTATACTAAACACTGGTAGATAAAACAGAGAGGAAGGAACAGCTCTAAAAGTTATTTAGGAAAAAGAATTATTTGAACTTATAACCAGAAAAATGTGAGAAGCTAAGTATCCAGGATGACCCCTAGGGTCTATAACGGGAGATTCTTTGATAGCAGTGCCTTTCACTGGTACAAGGAATCTGCACGAAGAAAAAATTAGAAGATGACGAAGTTTGTTTATTCTATGCTGATATTATGACATATCTAAGTGGGTATGCCTAGTAGGCAAACTGACATATGGGATGGGCATTGTTAAAAAGAAGTTGTATAGATTTTAGTAATAAAATGAGTGTAAGGAGAGAGGTGATCTTTCATAATTTTGGTTCACCAAGTTTCAGCTTTCTACTATTATTCATAGTTCTAATTCAAGTCAATTATTCTTAAGTGACTGGCATCACGAATATTTTGGTAATATTCTGAAAATAATTATTTAAAATTAATGGTCGTGAAGGGAAATTGGTATAATAGACAAATCAGATAAGGTAAAGTTAGTGTACATACAGCTGGTAATATTCATTTTCCCTTGCTAGTAAGCCAGTATGAACCTGAAATAACATAGTATGTTTACTAATCTAGCCAATATTTTTAAATATAAATCCAATACTGGGAGCACTGGTGAAAAACTGGTACACACATTTTATTTCTAGTGACATTTTTGCTTGTTAACAATATTTTGGGACACAATTTAACAAATATTTAGAATGAGCCATGAAGATATTCTTAAAATACTATTTGATTAATTCTATTCTTACAATTTAACTTAAGGAATAACTGAAAGTAAAAATAGAGATATGCAAAAAATGTTTAATGTGGTTCAAAAATTAGTCTAAATATCTTCAAGATTTATCAAATAACATAACAACAGCAAAATGCAATGGTACATAACCATTACAGATTCACATGTAAAGAAAGGAGAGTGAAATTAAAAGAATTTCTATGAGACATTGAATCTTACAAATTTTTCCTTTTTTCTCTGAAAATTGTATTTCAATTGAATTTTGTTTTATATTTGGGGACCAATTACACTTTTTTTTACTCTAAATAATATATACATATAAAATCATAACATTTTTATTTATTATGGATTCCTGGGTTCTTTTGCAGGTTTGTTACATGGGTATATTGTGTAATGCTAGTGTTTGGGTTTCAAGGGAACCCATCACCCAAATAGTGAAGAGAGTATCCAATAGGTGGTTTATCAACCCTCAACTCCCTCTCATAACCTCCCCTCTTTTGAAGTCCCCAATGTCTATTATTTCCATCTTTATATCCATGTGTACCCCTTATTTCCAATTCCCACTTATAAGTGAGAACATATGGTGTTTGATTTTCTGTTTCTGAGTTACTTCACTTAGGATAATGGCCTCCAGCTCTATCCATGTTGCTGTGAAGAACATAATTTCATTCTTCTATATGGCTCTGTAGAATTCCATGGTTTATAGACACCACATTTTCTTACCCAATTCTTGTTTGATAAACACTAAGGTTGGTTTCATGACTTTACTATTGTGAATAGTGCTGCAGTAAACATAAGAGTGCAAGTGTCTTTTTGATGAAAAGATCTTCCTTTGAGTAAATACCCAGTAGTGGGGTTGAAAGGTAGTTCTATTTTTAGTTCTTTGAGAAATCTTCTACCATTTTCCGTAGGAGTTGAACTAATTTACATTGTCCATGAACAGTATATAAGTATTCCCTTTTCTCCATATGTATACCAACATTTGTTATTTTTCAACTTTTTAATAAAAGCCATTCTGACTGGTTTGAGATGGTATCTCATTTGCATTTCTCTGATGATTAGTGATGTTGAAGGTTTTTTCATATGTTTGTTGGCAACTTGTATGTTTTCTTTAGAGAAGTGTCTGATGACCTTTGCCCACTTTTTGATGGAGTTATTTATTTTTTCTTGTTGATTGTTTAAGGTCCTTATAAATTTTGAATCTTAGTCCTTTATCAGAATCATAGTATGCAAATATTTTCTCCCATTCTGTAGGATGTATGTTTACTCTGTTTATAGTTTCTTTTGCTGTGCATAGCTCTTTAGTTTAAGTAAGTCCCATTTGTCTACTTTTCTTTTTGTTCCATTTGCTTTTGAGTTCTTTATCATAAATTATTTACTTAGGTGAATACACAGAAGAGTTTTTCCTAGATTTTCTTCTAGGATTCTTATAGTTTGAGGCCTTACTTTTAAATCTTTAATCCATCTTTTTTTTTTTTTTTTTTTTTTTTTTTTTTGAGACAGAGTCTTGCTCTTGTCGCCCAGGCTGGAGTGTAATAGCACGATCTCAGCTCACTGCAAACTCTAAGTTTCCAAGCAACTCTCCTGCCTCAGCCTCCTGAGTAGCTGGGATTGCAGGTGCCTGACACCATGCCTGGCTAATTTTTTTTTTTTTTTGTATTTTTAGTAGAGACGGGGTTTCACTATGTTGGCCAGGTTGGTCTTGAACTCTTGACCTCAGGTGATTCCCCCGCCTTGGCCTCCCAAAGTGGTGGAATTACAGGTGTGAGCCACCATCCCTGGCCTTAAATCTTTAATCTGTCTTGAGTTAATTTTTGTAGTATGTTGAGAAGTAAGGGTCCAGTTTAATTCTTCTGTATATAGCTAGCTAGTTCTCTCAGCACCATTTATTGAATAAGGAGTACTTTCCCCATTGTTTATTTTTGTATACTTGGTTGAAGATTAGTTCATTGTAGATGTGTGGCTTTTTTCTGGGTTCTCTATTCTGTTCCACTGCTCTATGTGTCTGTTTATGTATTGGTACCATACTGTCTTGGTTATTAGAGCCTTTTGTATGGTTTGAAGTTGGATAATGTACTGTCTCTGGTTTTGTTTTTAATGCTTATGATTGCTTTGGGTATTTAGGCATTTTTTGGTTCCATGTTATTTTTAGCATTGATTTTTCTAATTCTGTATAAAATGACATTGGTCATTTGATAGGAATTTATTTGAATCTGTAGATTTTTTTGGGATGTGTAGTCATTTTAACAACATTGGTTTGTTCTATCTATGAGCATATCATGTTTCTCTATTTCTTTGTGTCATTGATGATTTCTTTCACCAGTGTATTGTAGTTCTTGTTGTAGAGATGCTTCACCTTCTTGGTTAAATGAAATATATTTTTAGGTATTTTATTTTATTTTTTGTGGCAATTGTAAATGGAAGTGAATTCTTTATTTGGTTGTCAGCTTGAATATTGTTGATGTATAGAAATACAATTGATTTTGGGTACATTAATTTATGTCCTGCAACTTTATTTAATTCATTGATCAGGTCTAGGCATTTTTTGGAGGAATCTTTAGGGCTTTCTATGTATAAAATCATTTAATCACAAAGAGAGATAGTTTGACTTCCTCTCTTTTATTTACATGCCTTTTCTTTGTTTTGCTTGCCTGATTGCTCTGGCAAGGACTTCCAGTATTATGCTGTATAAGAGTGGTGAGAGTGGATATTCTTGTCTTGTTCTAGGTCTTAGAAAGAATTCTTTCAACTTTTACCATTCAGTATCATGTTGGTTGTGGGTTTGTGATATATGGATCTTATTATTTTGAGATATGTTTATTTGATGCCTAGATTGTTGAGGGTTTTTATCATGAAAGGATGTTGGATTTTATGTAAAACTTTTTCTGCCTCTACTGAGATAATGATAGGGTTTTTTAAAAATTTTGTTTATGTGATAAATCACGATGATTGATTTGCATATGTTGAACCATTGTTTCATCCTAGTAACAAAATTCACTTGATTGTTATGGATTATCTTTTGATGTGCTGTTTGATTTGGTTTGCTAGCATTGTACTGAGGATTTTTGCATCTGTGTTCATCAGGGATGTTGACTTATAGTTTTCTTTTTCTGTTGTGTCCTTGCCAGGTTTTCGTATCAAGGTGATACTCGTTTCCTAGAATGAATTAGGAAGCATTCCCCCCTCCTTGTTTGTTTTTAATAATTTCAGTAAGATTGGTACCAGATCTTCTTTGCAGATCTTCTTTGCCTATCTGATAGAATTCTGCTGTGAAACCCTCTGGTCCCAGAGTTTTTTTTTTTTTTTTTGTAGATATTTTTATTACTGATTCAATTTTGGAACTCATTATTGGTAGGCTCAGAGTTTCAGTTTCTTCCTGGTTCAATTTTTAGAGGTGGTGCAGTTCCAGGAATTTATCCATTACCTTTGGGTTTTCTAGATTGTCTGCGTAGAGATGTTCTTAGCAGTCTCTGAGAACGTATTGTATTTCTGTGGTATCAGTTGTAATGTCACTTTTGTCATTTCTGATGATGCTTACTGAAATCTATTTTTCTTGGTTAATGTAGCTAGTGGTCTATCAATTTTGTTTATCCTTTTAAAGAATCAACATTTTATTTCGTTTGAAATTTAGTAATATAAACTTTCCTCTTAACACTGCTTTTTCTGTGTCACAGAAGTGTTTGTATGTTGTGTCTCTATTTTCATTTGTTTCAACTTTTTAAATTTCTGCTTTAGTTATTTGCGCAAAAGTCATTCAGGAGCAAGTTGGGTTTTTATTTTGTTTGTTGTTTTTTTCATTTTCTTGTGTAGTTCTAGTATTGATTTCTAATTTTATTGCACTGTGGTCTGAGAAGTTGCTTGATATGACTTTGATTTCTTTGAATGTGTTGAGAATCTCTTTATGATCAAGAATGTGGTCAATTTTAGAGAATGTTCCATGAGCAGATAAGAAAAATGTATATTCTGCAATTTTTGGGTTGAGTGTTCTGTAGATTTTTTTAGGTCATTTGGTCAAGTCTAATTTAAGTTCAGAGTTTCTTTGTTAGTTTTCTGCTTGGATTATTGGTTTAGTGCTGTTGGTGGGGTGTTGCAGTTCCCCACTACTATTGGATGACTGTCTATCTCTTGGTCTAGTAGTATTTGTTCTATAAATCTGTGTGCTTTGATGTTACATGTGTGTATATTTAGGATAGTTAAATCTTCTTAAATTGAATCATTTAGCATCACATAATGCTCTAATTTGACTTTTTTTAAAAAAACTGTTGTTTATTTAAAGCCTGTTTTATCTGATACTAAAATAGCAACCCCTGCTCTTTCTTGTTTTTCATTTGCATGATACATCTTTCTTTATCTTTTTACTTTGAGCCTAGGGCTGTCATTTTGCATGAGATATGTCTCTTGAACGCAGTAGATGGTTGGGTCTCTCTTTTTTTTTAATCCGATTTTCCATTTTTGTCTTTTAAGTGGAGTATTTAGGCTGTTTACCTTCAAGGTTAATATTGATATGTGAGGTTTTGTTCCCATCATAGTATTGTTAGCTAGTTGCTTTGTAGTCTCAATTGTATAATTGCTTTACAGGATCTGTGAATTTTGTACTTATGGGTGCTTTTATGGTAGCAAGTATTGTCCTTTCATTTCCATGTTTAGAATTCCTTTGAACATTTATTATAGGGCCATTCTAGAAATCTCTTAGCATTTGTTTGTCTATGAAAGACATCGTTATTCATTTGATTATGAAGCTTCATTTTGAAGGATATAAATTCTTGGCTGGCATGTTTTTTTCTTTAAGAGGGTAAAAATAGGCCCCCAATCTCTTCTAGCTGATAAGGTTTTTGTTGAGAAGTCAGCTGTTAGTCTAATGGGATTTTCTTTATGGGTAACTTGTCCCTTTTCTCAAGCTGCCCTTAAGATTTTTTTCTCCCCCTTCATGTTGACCTTGGATAATCTCATGACTATGTGCTTTGGTGATGGTCATCTTGTGTAGTATCTTACAGGTGGTCTCTGATTTTCTTTCTTGTATTTGGATGTCAACCTCTCTAGAAAGGTTAGGGAAATTTTCCTAAATTATTTCTTCCAGTGTTTTCCAGGTTGTCTTTTTCTTCTTCCTCATGAATGCCAATATGTCATAGGTTTGGTTGTTTTTCATAATCCGATATTTCTTAAAGACTTTCTTCATTTTTTAAAGTTCTTTTGGCTTTATTTTTGTCTGAGTTAATTCAAAAACTGGCTTCCAATATCTAAAATTCTTTCTTCTGCTTGATCTAGGCTATTGTTAAAGCTTTCAATTGTATTTTGAAATTCCTTTCATGAATTTTTCAATACTATAAGTTCTATTTTTTTTATTTTGTTTTGTTTTGTTTTAGTATAGTTATGTCATGTTTTATATCTTGCATTTTTTTTCTGGTTTCTTTGTGCTGAATTTTAACTTTCTCTTGGATCACACTGAATTTCCTGGAAATACATATTTTGAATTATTCATATGTCATTTTAGATTTTTAATTTTGGTTAGGATCCATTGCTAGATAGCTAGTATGATCCTTTGGAAGATATCAAGATACTCTGGCTTTTTGTACTGCTCAAGTTGTGCTGATTCCTTCTCATCTAAGGGAGATGTACCTTTTTATTTTTGTTTTTGCTATCATTTGGATGGAAGATTTTTTTTTGTATTCCTTTCTCCCTTGAATGCTTGAATGTGTGATTGTGTTGTATGTTTTCTATGATATTTTGGCTTTATTTCTGGGTGCTTTGAGGGGCCCAGTGCTCTGTTTGGGTTCCTTATTTGGGGCTAGCTTCTGGCTTTTTCAGATGCTGCTTGTTGTAGTGATGTGTTAGACATATGCCTCCTGCAAGGCTTAGGGTGAGGAGGAAGGACTCAGGAAGCTTATTTTATGGACTAGCAGTGAGCCCTTCTGGCAGCAGGTTTTTAATTTGGTTGTACAGTTCAGGATCCAGTCCAGTAGATGGTGATTAAGAGTAACATCTGTCTTGCCCTCAAGTAGGTTGATGATGAGTGGAAGCACCTGCCCTGACCAAGTGGGATATGGCAGGCAGAGATCCTGTTGGGTGTATTGAGATCTCAGGGGAGGGGACAAGGGGATGGTGCACTAGCTCCTTGTCCTAAGCAGGCAGGGACATGATCCACTTCCCTATCATGCCCCTCTCACAGGGCACATGTTCATTTATATAGACTTTAACCTTTTGTTCCTGAATGCAGCACAGCTGCAGCTGGCAGGTACACCCTTTGGCTGCTACCACCGCACATTGACCATTCTCTAAAATTGACTACATTCTTGATCATAAACAGTGTCTCAATAAATTCAAAGAAATCAAAATCATATTGATATGGTTTGGCTGTGTCCCTCTCCAAATCTCAACTTGAATTGTATCTCCCAGAATTCCCATGTGTTGTTGGAGGGACCCAGGAGGAGGTCATCAAAACATGGTGACCAGCCTTTCCCATGCTATTCTCGTGGTAGTGAATAAGTTTCACAAGATCTGATGGGTTTATCAGGGGCTTCCACTTTTGCATCTTCTTCATTTTCTCTTGCCACCACTATGTAAGGAGTGCCTTTCACCTCCTGCCATGATTCTGAGGCCTCCTCAGCCGTCTGGATCTGTAAGTCCAATTGAACCTCTTTTTCTTCCCAGTCTCGGGTATGTCTTTATCAGCAGCATGAAAACAGACTAATATACATATCAAGCAACTTCTCAGACCACAGTGCAATAAAATTAGAAATCAATACCAAAACCACCAAGTAAATGGAAAGTAAACACCTTCCTCCACTCAAGGCACATGGCTACTGCCAGAGCTTTCAGGCACCACAATATGATTAGACTGTCATGGTTCATTGATTTTCAGGGAACAGATCTACTTCAATACAAAAATTAGCCAGATGCATTGGCAGGTGCCTGTAATCCCAGCTACTCAGGAGACTGAGGCAGGATAATCACTTGAACCCAGGGGTGGAGGTTTCAGTGAGCTAAGATCACACCACTGCACTCCAGCCTGGGTGACAGAGTGATACTCTGTCTCAAAAAAAAAAAAAAATAGGTAAGACAGGTAAACATAGTAACCAACCTGAAAGTAGTAAACATAGACATACATGAATTTTTACCTTTTATAGTTAAAATTTTACTATTGATTTTTAAATTCCTAATAATTTATTTAAATGAAAAATTAATAATTTTTTTTGACAGGAAACAAAACTGTACATGAAGTTGGCAACTTATGATTCTAACACCATTTACTGAGATCTTTTTATATGTTTATTTCTTTTGAATTGGTTTTGTTTCTTTGACTCTTGGTCTTGGTTTTATCTTTTCCTTGACTGGTTCTCTTTTGACTGTAATTGTCAGAAGGACAATTTGATTTATCTTAAACTAAACGGAAATTTATCAAAAGACCATGGGGATGACTCATCAAACAGGACTGAGAGCCAGTGCCAATACCAACTGTAATTAACAACACAATTGATACTTTCACTCTCTGCACTCATTTGTGCTGTTCTTTAATTTTGTCTTCTTTGCTTCCTGTTTTCTTTCTTTTTCTTTGTAGAAGCAAACCTCTGCTATTTCTCTGTTCTACTTGAGCATAAACTTAACCATTGTTTGCTCTCAAGCTTTTTTACTTTTGACTTAAGTACCACAAAAATATTAACTTATTTTCTTTTTATTCCTTATACCATAATTGCCAGAAAGGTTTCCTATTCTAGCTTGGAAAGAGGATCTGTTCCCTAAAAATCAATGAATCATGACAGTGTGATCATATTATAATGCCTGAATGCTCTGGCATTAGCCATGTGTCATGAGTGGAGGAAGGTAAAGTTCCCGGGAAAGTATGTATGTGTGACGGGAGCAATAAGGGGGGGCCTGGTCAGAAAAGTAGCATGTTTGCAACCATCTGAAACAACGAATGCATTCATGTAAAGATTCCTTGTGTTCTTAGCCCAGATACTAGCAGTATTTATAGCTTTCATCAGCTAAACCCTGTTATATGATGTGTATCACTACATACCTGCTTGGATGTTTCACAGTTATCTCACTTTTCATTATGCTCAGTATCTCCCATTCACCCTTATTTTCAGTTCATCCTGCTTCTTCTTCGCCCATTCATCCCATCTCCAATTGAACCTGCTTCTCCTGAAGTGTTTCTCATATCAGGAATATCACCATCAACCAGCCTCCCATTTGCTCAGAACAGAAACTTGGGAGTTGTTCTTTACTGTTCCCTTTTGCTAAACCTACCAATTACAATTAATTATTCACTTTTAAATCTAACTCTTATTTTGAGTCTGGAAAATAGATAGGACTCTATCCCTTTTGCAAAAAGCATTTCCTCTAGACAATTGCATTATCCTCTAAATTTCCTTTCTCCGATATCATCCCTACCTCTAATTTCTTCTGCATACAACAGACAGAATGATGTTGGTTAAATACAATTGAATTGTGCTAGAAACACTTCTATGATTTCCCACTGATCTAAACATAAAATTGAGCATTTTGTAGAGCCTACAATTGTGCCAATATTCTCCTTGCTCACTACGTTCTAGTCACACCACACACACACACACACACACACACATATATTAGTTTCTTAAGAAAAAATGCATATACTCCTCCCCCACGCCTCTTGAACTTTATCCAGTTTTTCTTTCTGAAACAATCCCTTGCTTACTGCCTGGCTGTGTCCTTGTCCTATAACCTTAAATGTCATTTCTTCACTAAGGCCCACCATGAGTGTCAAATAGAAATGGCATCTTTATGTTATTCTTTCTCCTAACTTCCCTTTATATCACTTACCAAAATTTGTCGTTTTTTACCTGGTAAAACATTTGCTTATTGGAAGTCTATCTCTCCTTCGAAGTAGAAGCAGTGAAATAGCGAGAACAATGACCCTTTGCTTACAACTCTCTATGTCATGAGAGCATTGTGTGCTGCTCTCTATACATCCCACTCCTTTGCTCGGGGCCTGCGCCTCTTCTGCTAGCTGTATAGTGGAGTTGTGTCCTACTCAGGAGTTGGACTCTAAAAGGGCTCACTGTGAACATTTAGCCAAAATGTCGCATAACTAGTTTTGTTTATAAATATAAATATGCAAAATAATACAATGTATATTTAAATATACAATTTTATTTTAGTTCTAATTACACAGAGAGAAAAAGTGAGCACAGTTTAATTTGCATAATTAAATGTGCTATTACTGATGGCTGAATTAATAAATTACAGATACTCATTAAATATTTGTTGGAATCAATTAAGTCCAGCTTTAAATGTCTTTGCTACCATTTCTATTTGAAAGATGAATAAACAGACATCTAAAGCAACTGAGTAATTCCTCTAGTCACGTGTAATCTCTTTAGGTTTTCTGTCTTCTTATATTTTGCTATTCAGATAATACATATACGGATTTGACTTTATTTTTAATTTTTGCTCATGACTATGCTGAAGGAAACTTGAAGGATAATGAATTTCATGGCACTCAGAATTTCTTGAGTTTGTCAGTGAAGTTTGGTCTGTGTATACAGTTTGTCTGGTGAAGTTTGATTCATGACATCAATTGTTTTCTAGCTGATCGTCAACCTGTAATACCATGCTGACTCTGCAAGTGTCTAGTGATCTTATTCTTGTCTCCCTTATGCTTGTGTTTCTGGAATGCTGTCATCAGCATATTACTGTTAATGAATGACTGTCTTGGAGACTTTTGTGTCACTTCACGGTTTACTATAAGAATTTTTATACACATTGAAATTAAATCAATACCATAAAATAAAATGCTCACAATCTCCTAAAAAACCGAATATTTTCTTTAAAATAGGAATCTTATTTTTAAACCATAGTGATTAAGTGGGCAGGGTATTATATCCTGATCTTCCTCAATAAAAATATCAAGCAAGTTAAAGCTGGAAAAATCTTTATCATATATTCAAGATCTCAGTCTCAATACTGTTGGCAGGTTTCTGTTTCTAGTGATGCAAGGGTTCTGGTTTTTTTTAATGAGAATAATTTTCAAGGTTGAATTAAGGACTTATGGTTGTTGTATTAGTCAGTGCCATTTTAACTCTCCTAAATCTTCGCAATGCCTATATTCAAACCCTATTACTCCAAATTCATTGTGTGTGTGAATGTATTTGTATGTGTGCGTGTGCACATCTTGAGGCTTAAAGGGGGGCAATAAATTGCAAAATAGAAAATTCAGACAAATTGAACTATAATGCAATGCTATCCTAACTTGTATTGGAATGCAGCCATATAAGCTTCTAGTACATTCTTCTCTGAACTGAAGTGACCTACTGGAGTTGCTGACATAAAGGGAAAATTGCAGACCTTTACCACAGGGCAAGAGCCTATAAACTTATGCCTAGACAAGTTGAAACTTCATCCTGTAGACAGATCATGTCAATAAGAAGCAGAGTATGTTTCTTTATCCCAAGGTCACCTACCAGTTTATAGATGAATAAAAGTGAGAGAGATGTAGAGCAGAAATTCCCTAATGCAAATATGGGCCAAGGGAATGGAGAGCCCCTGACAAATAGAATGTATCTGTTTACACCAGGATGCTGCTAGTGAGGGAATGTTTGGGACTTGATGTGTTGAAAAATTCTTCTGGACCTATTTCCTGTAGAAGATATGTCTGTATTCATCATTTTTTGGATGATGATTCAAAAAATCGTCATCCTTTGGATGAATCACCTCATTAATTTTCATTAATTTTCATCATTAATTGGATGAATCACCTCATTAATCTTTCACTCACAATGTAAAATTCAGGCAATAGTGAAAATGGAGTATATAAGATTCTTTTTTAATAAAAGAAATTCTAATCTGCGTATGAAAGTAAACATTTGTCATGTGATGTTACAGTATCAATTTCTCAGACGTATATTTGATTTTTACCCGTTGTTTAATATCCTCACTTTTCTCTTTGTACTGTTTTTTTTTCTTACTTTCTTTTGTCTTATCATAAAGTATCTTTGCAGACCAGAATTACTGGAATAAACCCTTAGTTCAGATTTCATTTCCAATCTTTCCCTACTTAAATTTATATATGATACAAATGCCAGAAATTTTGCTGGACTTGTCATGTCATCAATATTAACTTCCAATAGCAAATGTGTCTGCAAATGTCAAGTTCAAAAGCTGATCTCTGATGCCACTCCAGCCTTATGCATATTCTCTCATCCACCCAATTCTTCATTTTTTAAAAACAATAGAGTATCTAGAGTGTGCCTAAAAGTATATAAGGAAGTGTGGAGTCAATATGGTACTAAATAAACATGGTCCCTGCTCTAAGGAACTTAAATACTAGTGCAGAAGGCAGACCAAACATAGGCAAACCACAAATAAAAGAAATAATTGTCAGTCAAAATGACATTTAGCAAAAAAGATATTAAGACAGAGAATCACTTGGAGATAAGAATCTACTTTAAAAAGAATATCTGTAAGGCAGTGGCACCTAATATGCAGAAGATTCCAGATGAAGGAATAGTAGGTTAAAACTTCCTCAAGTGGTGAAGATCTTGATCCATTCAAGAAACTGAAAGAAAATGAGTGTGAGGAGAGTCATGTTTGCAAGTGAAAGAGTTGTGTTAATATGAGATGAAGGTGATAAAATAGATAAGGTGATATAAGGCAGGGGCTGGCTGTACATCATGGTAAAAAGTTTAATTTTTATTATATAAACCAGAATGCTGCAATAACAGTATAAAACAAGAAGCAAATGGTAGTCATGTGTGTAATTTAGTATGCTAAATATGTTATACTTAAATTAATATATCCAAAATCGTATGATTTTAAGATGCAATAAATATATAGTTATTCATGAAATATTTTGTGAGTGAAACTTTTTTGTACTGATTCTTTTAAAATCCATTGTGTATTTGACACAAACATCTCAGTTTACAGCAGCTGCATTTCAGGTGCTCATTTGTCACCTGTGCCTCATGACTACTCTATTGGAATGGAAAACTGTTAGTGTGTTCAAGAAGGAGACTGATGTGATCCAAATTACATTTTCATGTTACTCTGCTATTATTTACAGAAACTATGTAGTGGAGAAGGTATGGATGAAGACAGGAAAATGAGTTAGGAGGCTGTATTAGTTTCCTGTGGCTTCCGTAACAAAGTACCACAAACTGGCTGACTTAAAACAATTGAAATTTATTTTCTCAGAAGTCTTTCTTGAGACCATAAATCTGAAATCAAGATGTGGGCAGAGCCATATTTCCTCTGAGGGCTCTAGAAAAGGAGTCTTCTTGACCTCTTTTAGCTTCAAATGGTTGCTGGCAATTTTTGAAGTTGCTTGGCTTGTAGATGGATCTACACTTTCTAGTTTCTACCTCTGTCTTCACATGACCCTCTCTTCTGTGTGTCTGTGTAGCTGTGTCCAAATGTCCCTCTTCTTATAAAGAACACTTGTCTTATTTGATTTGTGGCCAATCCTTATCAAGTATAATCTCTTTTTAATGTGATTATATCTGCAAAGGCCCTATTTCCAAGTAAAGTCACATTCACGGGCTCCAAGTAGACATGAATTTTGGAGGTACACAGTTCCAGACAGTGCAGAGGCCATTGGAATAAAAGGTGGTGGTGGCTTGTACACACCCAGCACACATCTATACTTCACTCCCCTCTGCACCCTAGGTAGTAGGCTGGGGTGGAGGCAGTAGATATAAAAAGAAGTGATTGTGAAATACATTTTAGAGATGTAATTAACTGATGTCTTGAATGTGGAGGGGCAGAGCCAAAGCAATTTGGATGATATTTCCAATCAGAGTTTCTATCATGCCTTTCCTGATCAGTCACTAAATGCCCACTGTTTTTATCCTGGAAATTTGTGTTTCTAGCTTCTAAAGGATCTAACTCAAAGCCATCTCTTTTATGTCCCTCTTTACGAGGCCTTTCTTAATTAGCTTTACCTTATTGGTAAGAGTATTAAACTAGAAGAAATGGATTAGCCTGTCTTAAGTACTAAAGAAATCAAATATATATTTGTATAATCCATTATTAGTGAAACTTTGCCAGTGTTTAAATATACTGCAATGTACTCTTTGAAAAAATCTAGAAACTGGAAATTTTAGAATTGAAATAGAAATCATAATTCAACTCACATTGTATTAGTTCATTTTCACACTGCTATAAAGAACTACCTGAGACTGGGTAATTTGTAAAGAATAGAGGTTTAATTGACTCACAGTACCACAGGCCCTAACAGGAAGCATGACTGGGAGTCCTCAGGAAACTTATGCTCATGATGGAAGGAGAAGGGGAAGTAAGCACCTTCTTCACATGGTGGCAGGAAAGACAGAGAGAGAGAAAGAGAGAGCAAAGTGGGAAGGGCCATCCTTTTAAACAACCACATCTCGTGAGAACTCACTATCAAGGGAACAGCAAGGGGGAAATCTGCCTCCATGATTTAATCATCTCCCACCAGGGCCCTCCCCTGATACAAAGAGATTGTAATTCACATGGGATTTGTGTGGGGACACAGAATCAAACCATATTACTCATTAAAAACAAAAAGCAAAACAAAACTACATATCCTTTACATCTAGAATATGACGCACAGTTATCTGGGTACAAGTATTCCTAATGATTTCAATCTCTAAATATACTAAGTTTTCCAATTCATATTTTTTATCAGTCTGTCTCATTCATAAATGAAATCACCCAAGTTCTTAAATCTAGTCATATTTTTAGTTTGTACAATCTCTTATAGGTGTTCAATTCCATAAATATAAAGTATACTGTTTAATTTTGTAAGCCCTATTATTTCTTGTAAAAATCACCTGCAATCTGCTCTCAGAGTGGTCACAGTGAAGGATGTCAGGCAGTTTTCTAGTTCAGGTAGCATAAGGCTGAATAAAAATAAATATGTTATCCAGATGTTGTATTATTGATTTACTGACATTCCTTCATTTCTGTTTGTGTTTAGAGTCTTGACCCATTTTTTAAACATACAAACCTGAAATAAGTTTCCTATCCCTTTGTCCTTTTCTGCAATTTTTTAAAACCTCACATTGCTTTTCCTGAGGTATGGGGACCCAAAAACTGAAAGCATCTCATTAACAGGCCAACTATTAACACTTGTGGGTCCCAGGCCAAGAATATGAATGAAGGCTCACAGAATGTAAGTCTAAATATTGAAGTTATAAATAAAGCTTTAAAAACCATGGAATAAAATATGTTCTAACCTCTTATCTTGGAAAGTATACTTTGATAATTACTTAAAAAGCACATTCCAAATCCAGATTTCTTTGGACTTCCTGGCATTCTCTGCAGGAACTTAGCAACGTGGAGAGAGCCAGCCTGTGTTCTTATTTAATTCCAATATCCATTGTTAAATCTGGGTAATGATTGCATAAGAGTTCTTTTTATAAGTCTCCCTTTTTTTCAAGTTAGCAATTTTCTACAACAAAAAAATTATATTAATAAAGTTTAGTGTCTCCTTGATAGCTCCCGAAAATTTTGTGTTCCATGAGAGGAGGTTTTATTTGCTTGGCTGTGTTTCTTGAAGATTCTACTGATGTCTTCAGTGATATGCATGCCCCCATTAAAGGTGGGTGACAATGATCAATGTGATCTGTATAATGTTGCATTTTCATTCCTGAGCTCATCTTTGGCCTTGGCATCATTAAGCAATCCCTATGATTCTCTCTGTGTCTCTCTTGCTTTTGTTTTATTTAAATAATCTTGGGGGCGGTTCCAAGATGGCCAAATAGGAACAGCTTCAGTCTACAGCTCCCAGTGTGAGCGATGCAGAAGATGGTTAATTTCTGCATTTCCAACTGAGGTACCGGGTTCATCTCACTGGGGATTGTCAGAGAGTGGGTGCAGGACAGTGGGTGTAGCGCACCAAGCATGAGCTGAAGCAGGGCGAGGCATCGCCTCACCCAGGAAGCTCAAGGGGTCTGGGAATTCCCTTTCCTACCCAAGCAAAGGGGTGACAGACGGCACCTGGAAAATCGGGTCACTCCCAACCTAATACTGCGCTTTTCCGATGGTCTTAGCAAACGGCACACCAGGAGATTATATTCCACGCCTGGCTCAGAGGGTCCTACACCCATAGAGCCTCGCTCATTGCTAGCACAGCAGTCTGAGATCAAAGTGCAAGGCAGCAGCGAGGCTGGGGGAGGGGCGCCCGCCATTGCTGAAGCTTGAGTAGGTAAACAAAGCAGCCTGGAAGCTGGAATTGGGTGGAGCCCACCGCAGCTCAAGGAGGCCTGCCTGCCTCTGTAGACTCCACCTCTGGTGGCAGGGCATAGCCGAACAAAAGGCAGCAGAAACCTCTGCAGACTTAAATGTCCCTGTCTGACAGCTTGGAATACAGTAGTGTTTCTTCCAGCACGGAGCTTGAGATCTGAGAACGGACAGACTGCCTCCCCAAGTGGATCCCTGACCTGCGAGTAGCCTAACTGGGAGGCTAATTATGTGTCTGCCCAGTAGGGGCAGACTGACACCTCACAAGAACTGGTACCACTCTGAGATGAAACTTTCAGAGGAACGATCAGGCAGCAACATTTGCTGTTCACCAATATTCGCTATTCTGCAGCCTCCACTGCTGATACCAAGGCAAACAGGGTCTGGAGTGGACCTCCAGCAAACTCAACAGACCTGCAGCTGAGGGTGCTGACTGTTAGAAGGAAAACTAACAAACAGAAAGGACATCCACACCAAAACCCCATCTATACGTCACCATCATCAAAGACAAAAGGTATATAAAACCACAAAGATGGGGAAAAAACAGAGCAGAAAAACTGAAAATTCTAAAAATCAGAGCACTTCTCCTCCTCCAAAGGAGTGCAGCCCCTTGCCAGCAATGGAACAAAGCTGGACGGAGAACGACATTGACGAGCTGAGAGAAGAAGGCTTCAGAGGATCAAACGTTTCCAAGCTAAAGGAGGAAGTTCGAACCCATGGCAAAGAAGTTAAAAACCTTGAAAAAAGATTAGACGAATGGCTAACTAGAATAACCAGTGTAGAGAAGTCCTTAAAGGACCTGATGGAGATGAAAACCATGTCACGAGAACTACGTGACGAATGCCCAAGCTTCAGTAGCTGATTCGATCAACTGGAAGAAAGGGTATCAGTGATGGAAGATCAAATGAACGAAATGAAGTGAGAAGAGAAATTTAGAGAAAAAGGAATGAAAAGAAACGAACAAAGCCTCCAAGAAATATGGGACTATGTGAAAAGACCAAATCTGCGTCTGATTGGTGTACCTGAAAGTGACGGGGAGAATGGAACCAAGTTGGAAAACACTCTGCAGGATATTATCCAGGAGAACTTCCCCAATCTAGCAAGGCAGGCCAACAATCAAATTCAGGAAACACAGAGAACACCACAAAGATACTCCTCGAGAAGAGCTACTCCAAGACACGTAGTTGTCAGAACCAAAGTTAAAATGAAGGAAAAAATGTTGATGTTAAGGGCAGCCAGAGAGAAAGGTCAGGTTACCCACAAAGGGAAGCCCATCAGACTAACAGCTGATCTCTCAGCAGACACTCTGCAAGCCAGAAGAGAGAGGGGGCCAATATTCAACATTCTTAAAGAAAAGAATTTTCAACTCAGAATTTCATATCCAGCCAAAATAAGCTTCATAAGTGGAGGAGAAATAAAATCCTTTACAGACAAGCAAATGCTGAGAGATTTTGTCACCACCGGGCCTGCCCTACGAGAGCTCCTGAAAGAAGCACTAAATATGGAAAGGAACAGCCAATACCAGCCACTGCAAAAAGATGCCAAAATGTAAAGACAATCGAGGCTAGGAAGAAACTGCATCAACTAACAAGAAAAATAACCATCTAACATCATAATGACAGGATCAAATTCACACATAACAATATTAACCTTAAATGTAAATGGGCTAAATGCTCCAACTGAAAGACACAGCCTGGCAAATTGGATAAAGAGTCAACACCAATAAGTATGCTGTATTCAGGAAACCCATCTCACGTGCAGAGACACAGATAGGCCCAAAATAAAGGGATGGAGGAAGAGCTACCAAGCAAATGGAAAACAAAAAAAAAGGCAAGGGTTGCAATCCTAGTCTCTGATAAAACAGCCTTTAAACCAACAAAAATCAAAAGAGACAAAGAAGGCCATTACATAATGGTAAAGGGATCAATTCAACAAGAAGAAGTAATTATCCTAAATATGCATGCACCCATTACAGGAGCACCCAGATTCATAAAGCAAGTCCTTGGAGACCTACAAAGAGACTTAGACTCCCACACAATAATAATGGGAGGCTTTAACACCCCACTGTCAACATTAGACAGATCAACAAGACAGAAAGTTAACAAGTATATCCAGGAATTGAATTCAGCTGTGCACCAAGTGGACCTGATAGACATCTACAGAACTCTCCACCCCAAATCAACAGAATATACATTATTCTCAGCCCCACACTGCACTTATTCCAAAATTGACCACATAGTTGGAGGTAAAGCACTCCTCAGCAAATGTAAAAGAACAGAAATTATAGCAAACTATCTCTCAAACCACAGTGCAATCAAACTAGAACTCAGGATTAAGAAAATCACTCAAAACCGCTCAACTACATGGAAACTGAACAACCTGCTCCTGAATGACTGCTCGGTACATAACTAAATGAAGGCAGAAATAAAGATGTTTTTTGAAACCAATGAGAACAAAGACACAACAAACTAGAATCTCTGGGACACATTTAAAGCAGTGCGTTGAGGGAAATTTATAGCACTAAATGCCCACAAGAGAAAGCAGGAAAGATCTAAAACTGACACCCTAACATCACAATTAAAAGAACTAGAGAAGCAAGAGCAAACACATTCAAAGCGAGCAGAAGGCAAGAAATAACTAAGATCAGAGCAGAATTGAAGGAAATAGAGACACAAAAAACCCTTCAAAAAATCAATGAATCCAGGAGCTTTTTATTGAAAAAAAAAAAAAACTTTTTTGAAAAGATCAGCAAAATTGATAGACCACTAGCAATACTAATAAAGAAGAAAAGAGAGAAGATTCAAATAGATGCAATAAAAAATGACAAAGGGGATATCACCCCCAATCCCACAGAAATACAAACTACCATCAGAGAATACCATAAACACCTCTTCACAGATAAACTAGAAAATCTAGAAGAAATGGAAAAATTCCAGGACACATACAGCCTCCCAAGACTAAACCAGGAAGAAGGTGAATCTCTGAATAGACCAATAACAGGCTCTGAAATTGAGGCAATAATTAATAGCATACTAACCAAAAAAAGTCCTGGACCAGACGGATTCACAGCTGAATTCTACCAGAGGTACAAGGAGGAGCTGGTACCATTCCTTCTGAAACTATTCCAATCAATAGAAAAAGAGGGAATCCTCCCTAACTCATTTCGTGAGGCCAGCATCATCCTGATACCAAAGCCTGGCAGAGACACAACAGAAAAAGAGAATATTAGACCAATATCCATGATGAACATTGATGCAAAAATCCTCAATAAAATACTGGCAATCTGAATCCAGCAACACATCAAAAAGCTTATCCACCATGATCAAGTAGGCTTCATCCCTGGGATGTGAGGCGGTTCAGCATACGCAAACCAATAAACGTAACCCAGCATATAAACAGAACCAAAGACAAAAACCACATGATTATCTCAATAGATGCAGAAAAGGCCTTTGACAAAATTCAACAACACTTCATGCTAACAACTCTCAATAAGTTAGGTATTGATGGGATGTATCTCAAAATAATAAGAGCTATCTATGACAAACTCACAGCCAATATCATACTGAATGGGCAAAAACTGGAAGCATTCCCTTTGAAAACTGGCACAAGACAGGGATGCCCTCTCTCACCACTCCTATTCAACATAGTGTTGGAAGTTCTGGCCAGGTCAATCAGGCAGGAGAAAGAAATAAAGGGTATTCAATTAGGAAAGGAGGAAGTCATCTTGCCCTGTTTGCAGATGACATGATTGTATATCTAGAAAACCCCATTGTCTCAGCCCAAAATCTCCTTAAGCTGATAAGCAACTTCAGCAAAGTCTCAGGATACAAAATCAATGTGCAAAAATCACAAGCATTCTTATACACCAATAACAGACAAACAGAGAGCCAAATCATGAGTGAACTCCCATTCACAATTGCTTCAAAGAGAATAAAATACCTAGGAATCCAACTTACAAGGGGTGTGAAGGACCTCTTCAAGGAGAACTTCAAACCACTGCTCAATGAAATAAAAGAGGACACAAACAAATGGAAGAACATTCCATGCTCATGGATAGGAAGAATCAATATCATGAAAATGGCCATACTACCCAAGGTAATTTATAGATTCAATGCCATCCCCATCAAGCTACCAATGACTTTCCTCACAGAATTGGAAAAAACTACTTTAAAGTTCATATGGAACCAAAAAAGAGCCCGCATTGCCAAGTCAATCCTAAACCAAAAGAACAAAGCTGGAGGCATCGCGCTACCTGACTTAAACTATACTACAAGGCTACAGTAACCAAAGCAGCATGGTACTGGTACCAAAACAGAGATATAGACCAATGGAACAGAACAGAGCCCTCAGATATAATGCCACATATCTACAACTATCTGATCTTTGACAAACCTGACAAAAACAAGAAATGGGGAAAGGATTCCCTATTTAACAAATGGTGCTGGGAAAACTGGCTCGCCATATGGAGAAAGCTGAAACTGGATCCCTTCCTTACACCTTATACAAAAATTAATTCAAGATGGATTAAAGACTTAAATGTTAGACCTAAAACCATAAAAACCCTAGAAGAAAACCTAGGCAATACCATTCAGGACATAGGCATGGGCAAGGACTTCATGTCTAAAACACTGAAAGCAATGGCAACAAAAGCAAAATTAAGAAATGGGATCTAATTAAACTAAAGAGCTTCTGCATAGCAAAAGCAAATACCATCAGAGTGAACAGGCAACCTACAAAATGGGAGAAAATTTTTGCAATCTACTCATCTGACAAAGGGCTATTATCCAGAATCTACAAAGAACTCAAACAAATTTACAAGAAAAAAATGAACAACCCCATCAAAAAGTGGGCAAAGGATATGAACAGACACTTCTCAAAAGAAGACGTCTATACAGTTAAGAGACACATGAAAAAAATGCTCATCATCACTGGCCATCATAGAAATGCAAATCAAAACCACAATGAGATACCATCTCACACCAGTTAGAATGGTGATCATTAAAAAGTCAGGAAACAATGGGTGCTGGAGAGGATGTGGAGAAATAAGAACACTTTTACACTGTTGGTGGGACTGTAAACTAGTTCAACCATTGTGGAAGTCTGTGTGGCAATTCCTCAGGGATCTAGAACTAGAAATACCATTTGACCCAGCCATCCCATTACTGGGTATATACCCAAAGGATTATAAATCATGCTGCTATAAAGACACATGCACAGATATGTTTATTGCGGCACTGTTCACAGCAGCAAAGACTTGGAACCAAGCCAAATGTCCAACAATGATGGACTGGATTAAGAAAATGTGGCACATATACACCATGGAATACTATGCAGCCATAAAAATGATGAGTTCATATCCTTTGTAGGGACATGGATGAAGCTGGAAACCATCATTCTCAGCAAACTATTGCAAGGACAAAAAAACAAACACCGCATGTTCTCACTCATAGGTGGGAATTGAACAATGAGAACACTTGGACCCAGGAAGGGGACATCACACACTGGGGCCATTGTGGGGTAGAAGGAGGGGGGAGGGATAGCATTAGGAGATATACCTAATGTTAAATGACCAGTTAATGGGTGCAGCACACCAACGTGGCACATGTATACATATGTAACAAACCTGCACTTTGTGCACATGTACCCTAGAACTTAAAGTATAATTTTTTAAAAAAGATCAAAAAAATTACATCAGGATTTTATTTTAGTGATTAAAGAAAATAAACACCTAAAAAAAATCTTTTATTATTGACATTGAAGTCCCTTACAAGATGATGGTCAAATTCTCTTTGTCCCACCTAATTTCTAGTTTAAACTTGTCTCAGAAGGCTGTGAATTTTCTCATGTTGAATTATATTACTTTTCAATTTGAAAAGTTAGCTTTTCCCCTCTTTTACAGTGTCAGTTTTTCTAGAATATTTCTCTTTCCATAAGCTTTACCTTTAGATTCATGACTTAGGATCTAAATTTAGGATTATACTATTTTAAGCAGACTTTGTGTTTCTTTTACATTAAAAAAATCTTTTTCTAGCTTTTACCTATCTTTTGCCAAACTTTCTTTTGCAAATTTTGGATAGCAACCAAATGTTTTCTGTTTCCTTCAGCCTCAAGGTACATATTCAGTAAGTATGTAATCACTATTATATACTAGTGTCTGTTAATTGTATTAACTAACATACTAGTGTCTGTTAATTGTATTAATTAATGTGTGTACATTTCTTTTTATTATAGATTCTAAAGCAAACTACTACACGTAGGCCATCATGTTCCAAGTTTTTGAAAGTTCATCTTTTTCATCTTGTTGATAAATTTCATCAACTTTTATGTAGGTAATTCAAATAGAAATTTGGGATAAATTGGACTGATTTTTTGGGATTATTGAGTATTTTTATTTCAGCTCGTTTTACAGCACTGAAAGCTGGAGTAAAAGACATTAGATATCCCTAGTCACTTGAGACTTCATTTTAAAAGCCAGTTGTACTGGCTTTGCCATGGCTTTGTCTTGGTTTTGATTTCTACCACATTTCCTCCTCTTCAGTGCTTCCTCAGCGGCGTGTACTTGAGTATGCGCACGTGCAAATGAAAAAAACATGGATATATTTGTAGTACCTATTATGTCTTTCATGCTCATTCAAGAGAGATATATATATATATATTAGTAATAAAACTAAATTTTAAAAGCCTAAAAATTAGGACCCAGCCTTTTTATATAGACAAGATATGTCATGGAGTCAGATTCTATGAATATCCAGTGTGTAAAATACACACACACACACACAAACACACACACACGGAGTTCACATATCAAATGAATGATTTTAACAGTTTAAATAGAATATATTTTTAGATTGCTTGAACTGATAATATCATTGCTATCAAAAGGATTTCATGCCTTTTCAACATTTAGTTTTTGTTTGTTTGACATCTTCCAATTTTGTGTTTAACTCTATGTTGACTTTATCATTTTATTCCAAACTTACGCTCCAAAATGCATTGCTGATGATATTTATATTAGTAGGCATTCTGTGGAATTGTGCTTTTACAGGAAATACATTGGTAAATCTTAAGTAATCTTAAATTGTTTCCACAGTAAAAAAAAAAAAAAAAAAAAAAAAGGACTTAGTATGAATCTGCAAGAAAATATAGACAAGGTGGACACCAAAAATAGTTTTATTTCCATCTGTAATTACTAGCTATGCAGCAAGTATAAAAATATATATTTGATATGTTTCCTTGAATATGTGATGTGGAGGCAGCAACACTATTTGTAAGCTTTTTAAAAGAGTTATAGTATCTTTGCAGAGATACTGTACTAGGGTCTAGAGACCAATAAAAAAGGTTTTCATCTGGGCTGCTCCACTTACTATCTTGTGTGATATTTACCAACTGATATTAACAAAGTATCAGTTTGCTGTTTTTTATAAAAGGAACAAAAACACAGCTTTTGTATGTTCTGGAGAGGATTCATATAGATATATATTACTTGATACAGTGCCTGGCATATAACCTACATTCTACTAATGGCATCTATTATTAGTAGTAATAATTAAAGTGGTAATGCTTACAGAAGGAAAGGGAATGTGAGTACAGTTAAGTACCCTTAATAAATTTATATATTTTATTAGGTTCATATATATTTATTTGTGTTACTGACTTTTATTATACAAATGTTATTGATTACTTTTAATCTCAGATGAAATAACTTGGAAACTTAGAGAAGAAAAATATTTTTATTCATATAGCAATATTATATAACTCAAAACCTCCACATATTCAGGACTCAGATTACATGGAAATTTAACAATCAATGTAAATCACAAAATCTGTCACTTTCATCTCATTTTAGTTTTACTTTTTTACATAATATGCTAGCCTTTTTTGCTTTTTCTAAGCACACATGTTTTATTAATCATAAATGTGAAAAAATAAGCGGTGTATTTTGTCATTGCTTGGAAAGGAAACTTAAAGACAATTAGGTATTTTGTCAGGGGCATAGATTTATTTATAAAATTTATCTACTACAAATTGAGTTGTTTTAATTCTTCACTATCCTTCTGAGAGAGATTAGAAGAAGGAATGACAATGTCTGCTTACATGGGAGAATACTGAAAGAAGGCCACCTTAAATCACATGGTGTAAATTCATTGGTGGTCAAAGCTCAGCACACTTCCGCGGTTTGTCTTCTCCATATTGCTTCCTTCTGTATGGATGCATACATATATATCCATTTTTATGTACAATATAAAGTGAAGGATGTATTTAAATAAGTTCCATCCTCATTCAGTTAAAATATTTTATGGTCTTTAATTATAAAATCATATTTTGAAAATTGAGCTGACTCTCAAATCTTTTGGCATAGCATTCTATCCTTTCTGGCATAAACTTGAGTTACCACTCTAATCTCATTCCTCACATTGTCCCTTTAATTGACTCCCTTTAGGCAATTTTGAAGTAGTAGTTGTTTATGCATATCTTTGTCATAGTCTCTCTGACTTCTAAATATTTGCAATTACTATTGCCTTCTTAGATTCCATATCACTCAGTTCCACTTCAAATTGGCTAATAGTAATTCATTTTTCTGGTCTTAGCTGGGATGTCAGTAGCTTCTACATTCCAAATTATTTAACTCTTTTGTACGTCCCCTCTCCAACATACCATTTCCATACACACACACCTCGGGCTCTCTCCGTGGTAACTGTATTTTACCTATAGAATGCGAATTGTCTTATTTTTCTGACTCACAGTGGAAGTGTCTTCATAGAAAGGGATATATTTTCTTTTTTTCCCTTAGTGTCCCCTCCCCTCTAAGCAATAACCATAATATGCATTTAATAAAAAGTTATAAAATACAAATATATTCCTATCATGAAGGTGAAATTTCTGTATACTGAAATAAACTGATAATAATTTTAGTCAAGACTTTAATCATTATATCAAATCAATGTGAAACTGAAAATACATGATGATACTTTGTTTCTATATCTCTGATAAAATATATATATTTATGAAATTAATATAGATAGATTTATTGTATAAGAAATCAAAATTATCTGCAATTCTACCCTCTAGTAATAGCTACTTTTGTGGTACATTTTCTGTTTAATTATCTATAAAACTCTTTTTGTACATATTAAATTTATCAATTTATAAATTTCCATCTACCATTTAGAAATACAAGAGCTCCATCAAGAATCATCTCCTGAAAGCTATGTATTCTTTCTTTAATCTTCTAAGTGTATGTGATAGACATTTGTCATAAACTTTCATATGTTTACGGCCTTCTATTAAGCTAAAAATATTTAATTCTTAATTATTGTACCTAAGTCTATAGGAAACTTAGATTTTATTCTCTACATCTGAATATGGCACACGTGCATACGTAATACCATAATAAATAATTCAAACACATCATTTGTTGTGATTAATGCCTACAAGAGGGAGTAACAATGACATCCCTTGAAATGTCTGTGTTTTATTTAAGTTCCAAAGATAACTGTTCCTTATTTAAAGTTTTTATTTGTTTGTTTGTTCTTGTTTTGGTTAGTATATTGGTTAATAAAGTTGTTTGGAATTTTATTTATCATTATTTGAATTTTCTAAGTCTTATAACTCAGAGCAGTAATCCAGAAGTTACCAACAATTTCCAACTCCTATCCTCAGGATGAAAGCCCTTGAAATAGAAATGTGAGCTGTGGCATAATGGAAGCATTTGGCAGCTATTTTCCCCTGCTCTATACATGAGTGCATAGACTCTAATTCATACAAAAAAGTTTATATAATTACCGATTTGCAACAAAATTTACTTTTCATGTACTTATGATTCTAATCTATCTCAAAAGTAGATAATCAAACTTTTGTAAATAACCTTTCAATGATGGACAATGTTATTGCTCCTTTACCTATTACTACCTCTCCCTGTTCTTTTCTTCATCCCAATCAATATGTCTAGATAAATACATTTTTTTCTCATTTGAAATTTAGTTTGGAAAATGCAGCCACATTTTTACTTATCTTTTTCAAATAATTAAAAACTTCTACCTCACTCATGTAACATCTTCCTGCATGATCTAATCTGCATCTAATTTTTCTCTGACTAGCAGCACTAGATGTTTTGTGATTAGGGAAGTCAGAAGTGATGAGACTTTAATAGAACATAAAATATTTCTTTTCTATATTTCAGTAAGTTAAACTAAATTATATTTACCTAAATTATGTACGTACTTTGATAAACATCTCAGATAATCTTGAAAATACCAAGCAGCAATGAAGGAAAGTGTGAGGGAATAGGGAGGGAGGGGAAAAGGAGAAGAGGGAAGGGGAAGGAACAGGAAAGGAAGGGAGGTGAGGATGGAAGAGTTTTGTGTAACTGGAATTCTTGAGAGTGAGGTTCTTGATAACCATTGTCAATCCTGGGAAAGGAAGAATTAAATCACAGTCCTTTATCGTTTGGGTATTATATAACTATCTTATTAACCATTCAAAAGAAAAGAAAATGATAGACATTCTGCTTTAAAGCAAGTGGAAAGCACAGTCTCATGGAATCCCATGAATTTCTTTGAAAACTGTCTCAAGTTACTTAAACTTCCTAAATTGTATTGTTTTTATTTAACATGAGTGGTATTTACAGTACATATTTGAAGATAAAATGTGATCAAGTGAGTACAACACTCTCAGCTGTGAGAGGCATTTAGTAAATACATTACATAATAATTAAACTCAAGATCTCATTTTAAGTGACACATTTAGGAATGAGAAGGGAAGGTCCCAGAAAAAAGCACAGTCAGATTAGTTTACTCAGAAATCGTAGTTTCGCATTTGAAATATGAAATCCCAACCTAGTTCGTGTATTACTTCCCTTCCCTAGTTATCACAGGGTCGGATTTGTGTCAGTCTCTTAAGGTAAACATTCCTAAATGTGTAGAGGTTTTTGGAAAGAAGAAGCATGACAAAATTAAAACAAACTGAATAGAATCCATTGGGTCTTTTATTAAGAATATTTTTTATTTCAAATGTAAGTGTTCTGAAACTGGATCAGCAAAATAATAGCAACTAAGTTATTTAAAAAGATAACAGGAAACAAAGCATAGACATTTGGTCTTGGATTTAAGCACATTATGACTCTACTGTTGAACTGTGGTTCTGACTCAGTGACGCCTACAGTAGAAGAAAAGATGCTTAAGGTGGGACAGTTGTGACCTAAAAATTAAAGCTCTAAATATTTAAGCTTATTTTAAGAGCACTAACACAGCAAAGCATATGCACAGAGAAGAACATGAATTATACACTAATCAAATTTTAATAAGTGGAGAATATTAGTGTAGAAGTACACACCTCACCAACAATGTGTTGTTGCTGTTTTTTCATTTTGCAGGGAAAAGTCCGGCATTTACAGAAGGCTTTTGCTTCAAGAGTAGATAAATCCACACAGACTGAACTACTATGCTATGATGTAAGTAGCTCTGTAAAACCATTTTTAACTTCATTATTGGCATTCAGACCTCCACAGCTTATTGACCTCTGCGGCTGCTGTGTCCATGCATTGATTTAACAGGATTTAGCGGTGCACCATTCATCTTTTGCTCTTAAACAATCCCCAAATACCTCCTGGAACTAAAAAAGATGATTACAGGCACCAACTGGCATACCAATGCCTTATTAATTTTTTTACATCAACAATTTTGGTACAGTCTTTTGAATTAGTGTATTTGCAGACATGTAGAAGATATGCATTAGAAGACTAGGGCAATTTATTTTTTAAGAAAATATTTATTTATTAACAGTTTAATAAAGTTACTATGTTTGTAATCACCAAAGGTGAAGCACATCATTTTTATATGCAGACACTTAAAGGCAAAAACAACTTTGAAGAAAAATTTAAAATAATGTTTTAGCTCTTGGGCTTCAGTGCAGGCAGCAGAAAGTAATTTAATTGAAAGTATTTTTCTGTTAGTGCGAAATACTTGTTGAACTGTCAAAATAGGATTGTAAAACATGTTTTAATACAGTATTACATCTAGTAACACTGGATGATTTGGGAAAACATTGATATAAATGCTCATTTTTTTCTTAAACACAGCTAAGAAATTTGCATTTTGCCTAAGTTCATGACTTTCAACTTCCTCTTGATGAAAAAATAAAGGAATTAATTTGATCTTGTAGCTAACATGTATGAGGACCCCCTCTTCTATTTAAAAACATTTATTCTTATTTTTAGCACTTTGCTGATAAGTAGAAATAAAATAGAAATAATTTTAAGTTTTATGATGATGAATAATGATAAATTATATGTTTATCTGCATGGTCTCATTATGTTAAATAACAAACTTGGATGCTACTTTTGTGTTGCCGTGCAAATTACATTAATTTAATATAAAACTACTTTTCTTTTAGGAAATAAACCAAAGCTTTGAATCACTGCACAAATTGTTTTCAAGTGTTTATATACCTTATTTTCTTAATTAAAAACAACACTAAAAAATATGAATTAAAAATTATTCAATTATGTTTATTTTAAGGTATATTTACTCTAGATATCTAAATTCTAGATCTCAATTTTGTAACTGAAATGCTTCTAGCAGTGTTGTATGTTACTTAAATTATGTTGACATCTATTTTTAAAAAGAAATAATTTTATGGTCCTTAAAGAGTATTTACCACAAGTAGTTCAATATTGGTCTTTTGTGAGGGATTTTTTTCCTGTCTAAAAACTTGGTTTTTTGTTGTTGTTGTTTGTTTGTTTGTTATTTGAGATGGAGTCTCACTCTGTTGCCCAGGCTGGAGTGCACTGGCGCGATCTCGGCTCACTGCAACCTCCGCCTCCTGGGTTCAAGTGATTCTCCTGCCTCACCATCCCAGGTAACTGGGATTGCAAGCACCCGTCATCACTGCCGGCTACTGTTTGTATTTGTAGTAGAGACAGGGTTTCATCATGTTGGTCAGGTTAGTCTCGAACTCCTTACCTCAAATGATCCACGCGCCTTAGCCTCCAAAAGTTCTGGGATTACAGGCGTGAGCCACCACCCCCTGCCTAAAAATTTTTTAATGAAAATATTTATATGCTAGTCCTTAGGATATAAACCCAATATGTGTTTTACAAATAACAACCTTTGTATCTATAAATCTGCAAGACAGAGAGTTTGTTCAATATGAGTAATAAAATCATAATTTTCATTAAATCTTATTCTAATATAACATCATACAACACAGGGACTACAAGTTAAATTAGAATCCACTTACTTCAAGCCCCCAAATTTTTAAATAAGTTAACTGAATTTCAGAAAAATGAAGTCACTTTTTTACTACTACATGACGTTTGTTGGGAGTCTAGTCTTTTATTTAAGGTAATGTGCTTGGAAAAGAGAAAACAAATATACATTTGGATTCAAATTTTCAATTTTATTTAAAGAAACAATGTTTGGGAGACAGAATTCTAACTTTTTAAATGACAATATAAATATAAAATGTAAGACTTTTATGTAATACCATCAATTTTATGTGACACTATTAGTGATTGCTTGTGAGAATTGGTTACTGAGGAATGAACGACACCTCTGGGGAAATGACTTATCTGTGGATAGTTATTCTAACACCATAGTTACCAGCAGCCTCTTACGTATTTGCCTATCCATGCCTCATAATTTTCTAATTTCTATGATATTTCTTATATCAATGTCATTTAGTTCTCTAAGCATGAAAATAAAAATGTAAAATGAAGCCATGGTAATTGTTAATCCTCATTAAATCTTCAATGTTCCTAGCTTGTTTCGTATGTTACAGTGATAGTTTAATGCATCTTACTGTATTGAATTAAGGTTAAAGAATAATACTTTTTTTGACAATGAGTCCCTAAAGAATCCCCTTCATATGAGCAAATTAAATTTCTAAAATATGCATGTAAAAACTTATGAAAGTAACTAGATGTAACTGTAATACTAAACTTTAGGGCATCTTGCATGTGAAAAACTGGGGATGGAAATACTTAAACAAATCAAAAATAAGTAAAACACTTTCAGTATCATAAACTACATAACTGGAAATATATGATTCATAAACTGTACAATTTCTCCCATGACCAGGATATATTTTCAATATTTATTTGTAAATATTTTTTAATATTTTATATGCAATAATAATCATTTATTCTTCAATTTATAGTATTTTGTTCTGTTTCACCCTCAGGAAATATAGTTTCACCTTATTTTAACTTTCAAAAATATTTTATAAACACATGTATCTATTTATAACTTGCAAATTGTGTTTATTCAAAAACAAGAAACATCTCGTGGAAATCTTGTACATTATGGATGTTTCTTATACTCTTTTGTTTTCTTCTTAAAGCTGCCAACATTAGCCACAAATTGTTCTTTACAGATTATTATGGATCATGTTTTATTGGTATGAGTATCAGAATATATGATACTACATGTCATCATTAATATAATTTCCTTGGGAAAATAGCTGTTGCTACACATTTTGCTTAAGATAAGAAATAGAATTCCCAGAAAACATTAATTATAATAAAATCTATTAAAAATTCACTGCCATGAATAAGTTTAAAGATTTGTACAATAAACTACTTTTATCCTGCACCAGATTTGTCAGGAGACATGAAACTAATGTTAGTTTACAATGTGCTCTGACTTCTAACGCACATGGCAAGACTTAAAAAAAAAATTCAGAGTGTCTCAGCACAGGCCTATAAACACCATAGTTTTTGTGATGAGGGAGATTGTTAAATAAATGATGAATGTGTCTTAAATAATCAATGCCAATTTAACCTCTTCCACGTTCCTCTGTCTGCACAGGCTTAGTTTATTGAAAGATCAAAGAATAATTTCTTAGGTGTCACTGTGTTATTAAAACAGGATAGAAGATGAATAGATGTAGTTAAGTAGCATTGCTGCCCATTTCAAGATTACATTGAGGGGTAGGGAAGTTTTTTATCTAATTACATCAAATGTATAAACAGATGTTTCAATGTAGTATATATGCTGTCTGTAAATATTTTATAGCTTGAACTACTACAAATAGCATTTTGATTACAATATTTGAGAATGCATAATCAAAATATTCTAAAGATCTTATATTCTGACAGTGAGAAATTCAGATACTTTCATTAATTTGACATCTTTATGGACAGCTTATGTCCTGAAGAAGATTGTTTTTGAAAATGTGACAGGTTGATTGACTTTAAGTTCAAGTTTTCTTTTCAGATAATGCCTGAAATTGACACAGAATAGTCAGAGGATTTAAAAATTTCTCTGAGCCACAAATGCACTAAAGTTTTAAGTAAAGCAGTTTCTTCCTTCATTAGCATGTGTTTTACACTAACATTTAATAAGAAGCCATTTTTAGTCTTGAACTTGGCAGTGTTTTCTTTAAGACTTCTGATGTTATCAGGTATTTCATTAAATATTAAATTATTATTAATTACTGTTAGTTTAAATATCATTAGGGGTTTCAATTTGGCTTCTTAAAATGGACTGAACTGTGGCATCACGTATTTTGTCTCATTCATGTATGAATAAAGCATAAATCAGTTTGTTAATGGATGCTCATACCACTGTTTATTTTTTCAAATATTTTAACACACTTTCCAAATGGTGGGATTTGCTTTATAAATACAGTTTTCTACTTACACATGAGGAAAATAATATTATTTGCATTATGGATGTACACTTTGAAAAACTTTTCAATGCAATTATCTGTGTATTTCACAATCTCTGGTACTTTTCTCAGATTTAATTTTGGTGGTGCTCCTGGCGCAGTTTGCAGATAGTCCTAAAAAATATGAAAATAGTTCATCATGCTGTATTCATGTTAGGAATAAGAATGATTAGTTTTTACTGTAATTGTTTTATTAGATAGAGCAGAAGTGTTTTTTGTGCTTGTGCTAATGTATTATGTCTGCCTGTGGATTAAGCCCTGTTCTAAGAATTGAATAACTATCAATTAGGCTTTCTCATCATGCTGCTAATATACTGTAGTTTATTAAAGTTTCTGTTTTGCTCTTATTTATTACTTCTATCTTCTTAAATTCAGTACTTCTCCTGATCATGTATGAATGTGCTCTGGCATTTATTAGAAAAAAGTGACTCCCCCGCACATGCTTCATGTATTTATATTTACTTATCTCAAATATTTCTGTTTATTTTTACAAATTAAAAAACATTTAGTTTTAAAAATTGAGTTATATATTCCAGGTTTGCTTATGGGCTATAATTTTTCCCATTACATTAAAGATAACTTTTAGATAAGAACATTGTTTAAAAACATCTATCATGTTTAAAAACATGATTATCTGCCACGGGTGCTTATTAACATGTAATGGAGTCACATCTTATCCAGTGGTAATGTTCTAAGGGCATCACTTTTGAAAATTTATTCATGCTTTCATTCAACAAATATGACTAAGTCCCCTCTAGCAGCCAGCTCCATTCTAGGTCCTTGGAATATATCCTTTAACCAAACAAAAAATATTCCTGCATGGAGCTTGCAACTGGTGAGGGCATACTTAAAAATCAATAAGCTAAGTAAATAAGCAAATTATATAATGCATTTGAAGGTGCTGAAAGCAATGTGAAAAATAAAAATAGCACAGAGAAAGAATAATTCTAAGTGTATAGTGGGAGGGTCAAGACTATGATCAGAAATTTTAAATAGGGTGATCTAGGGAGGTCTGAGTTTGAGATTTGAGACTTAAAGAAGGTGAGGTGAAAATCGTGTTTAATCAAAAATTCCTTTGTGATGTGCTTCTTGAAAATTCCTTGACGTCCCTTCAGTCAGTAAGAACTAAGCACTTTGTCATTGCTGGAGCCCTAGATAAGAATAGCTTCATTTACACATCATGTAGTATAAAAATTATATTCTAGATTATAAAATCTAGATTCAGGCTCAGTACATCAAGAGACTCACACTAGAGGAATACGGTCTACCTGAGGGAACAGCCGACGCAACTTCTATATCATATTCATCTAGCATAAGCACTGAGAAGAAATCTGCGTAAAATCAACCACACAGTATTAATTACATTTGCTTCTCCTCTTTCTGTTTGTTGCTTGCATTCACCCTACCCTCTTTTTTCCCTGAACACTATTCTTCTTCCAGAGCAGAGTTGGATTTATATGCTTTAAATGTATAATTAGACCTCATTGTATATCAGCGTATCCGATTTATCAGAGGTGTGCTGGTGAAACTAAACAAATTTAGAAAGCACTCAATGATTACTTGGTGAAAAAAAATTAACTAAAAGCCACTAATTTTTTATAATTCTAAAAATTTATAACAAATTAATATGCATTGTTTCATTCACAAAACATACAGGTATGGATATTGCTATATACTATATTATTTTCTATAGTACTTTTTTATATCCAACAAGTATTTAAAAATTACTGCGTTATGCCTTTTAGAATGAAGTATTAAACTCAAATCAGCATAGACAACTAGTAATGTCTAAACATAAGTGCCAACATGCAGTTGTTTTTATAGTGTGGCACTGAATGATTCTTTTTAAAATCTTGAATCTTTGCTTAGGAGCCAGATCCCCCTGGACTGCCACCAGGTCTTTAATTCTGCAGTGACTACATAGAATTAGTATCAGTGAACCAAAAGCCCTTTTGTTAAGAGAATGTGTGGTTGAGATCGTTATGAGGAAAACAGCAAGGCTAGATGTCATCTATGAAAGTTCTTATAATTATAAAAATATTCATTAAGATGAAACAGCACACGAGGATGGGGAGAGAATGAGTTGTTGCTGGTCCAAGGTTATAAAGCTTGAGTTGCAGATGAAATAAATTTTGAGATCTGCTGTACAGCAGGGTGACTATAATTAATGATAATGTATTATGTATTTCAAAATAACTAAATTTCAAATGTCTCACTACAAAAAAAGATAAGTAATGGGATGGTTGATGTGTTAATTTGTTTGATTTAATCATTCCACATTGTATACATATATCAATATCAAAATATCACATTGTATGCCATAAATGTATACAATTTGTCAGTTAAAAATAATGTTAACTTAAAAAAATTGAAAAGAGTACACACGCAGGAGGTTTTATATAGTTTAAAATAGTAATAATAGATATCATATTTGCTGAAAATTATGTTGTGGTAGTGTTGATAAAAGAGAAGAAAAATACATATTTGTTGAATGGAAAATTTCTCTCTGTCCACTTCTACTTCCAACTCATAGATTGCTACCTTTATAGGAAATCTAAATTTAATTTCAAATTTTTCTAATATTTTTCCTAGACTGCCTTAGGAGTCTCTTAGAGTATCTAGTGTACTAAGTGAGATTATATAATAAGAAGTCCTGGCTGGGCAGGGTGGCTCACGCCTGTAATCCCAGCACTTTGGGAGGCTGAGGCAGGCGGATCACGAGGTCAGGAGATCGAGGCCATCCTGGCTAACACGGTGAAACCCCATCTCTACTAAAAATTTAAAAAAAAAATTAGCCAGGCGTAGGTGGTGCACGCCTGTAGTCCCAGCTACTTGCTACTCAGAGACTGAGGCAGGAGAATGGTGTAAAACCAGGGAGGCGTAGCTTGCAGTGAGCCGAGATCGTGCCACTGCACTCCAGCCTGGGAGACAGAGAGAGACTCTGTCTCAAAAAAAAGAAAAAGGAAAAGAAAAAAAAAGTCCTTACAGAAAGAATTTTTACCACCCTTTGGAAGGAAACACCAAGTATAAGCTTGAAGTATCTCTCATTATCTGTTTACAAAGCATCAATCAATTGCAGCTAATTATTATAATCTGTATGAAGCTAAGTTCTATGACTTAGTTCAGGTACTTGTTTAAAGTAAATTTTTGTGGACTTATATTAATTTATTTCTATCAAAAACATTGCTTTCCTTTGATGTGGTCTACAATCAGGAAAAATTTGCAAAAGGAAATTTATCCTTATTTTATATATATATATATATATATATATATATACACATGACATATATATACATACATGATACATATATGTACATATATATTGACATACACACATAAATATCCTTGAAATATATATATATATATCTTTGACATATATTTGAAATATATATATTCTTGGAATATATATTATATCCTTGAAATAGATGTATCTCCTTGAAATATGTCATTGAAATATATATCTGTACATACACACCAAAACATCGTCTATTAATACACACACACATGCACATATATACACACACACACACAAATAAGACATAGGTACAAAAAGTTTGCTTTTATTTGATGTATTATTCCTATTATAGAAGTTAGAATTAGATGCATTCTTTAATTTTTCTGTGTATATAATAAGAATTACTGGGAATCATCTCTTACATTAACACAATGTTTAAAATGCTTATTTGAATTTTAATATGATTAAATTGAATTTATATAACTATTAGCTAGGAATATTTGCTGTCCATTTTATTATACTTGGTACATATTAATATAAAGATGATTTCTTTTTAAGGTGGTATTCAAATTAACTCTCAGAAACACTAATTTTTTAATCGCAGAAATCATAAACCCATATACCTTCTAATGAAATAGTGATAACAATTTTTTCCGTAACATAGAAGATGGTATTTTGTTTTTCACAGTACACTAGCTCATGGCTTTTCTGTTTTGTCATGGTAGAGCTTTTGTTTCACTAGGCAATCAGATTTCATTAAGTTACCTAATTTTTCCCTCAGTTTTCTCATGAGATCTGCTATTCCCTTTGACAACTCTACTTGTACTTGATTTAGATGCACAAAAAGGGATAATATGTACCAAGAGCATTGGTCCTCAGTGTGGTCTTTGTCCATCAAAATGTTTTTCAGCTACTTGATTAATGCTTTGGGATTTGAGAATAGCTAGCTTCTACCTTTTGCCAGTGAAATAACTGATATTGATTTGAGAGGAAAAAAGTCATTGAAATGTTTACATTAATAGTGTTTCAAAATAAAACTGTAAAGGGATTTTTAACTTATAAAAAGCCATAGAGAGCTAAAGGGAAAATATTCCATAAATGTTTGGCTTAATAACAAGCCAACAAAAGAACATGGATTTTCAGAATATTATATTAGAAAGTTTCCTAAAAGAAAGCCACATGTATCATTAACCTTATGCTCTGTAAAATAAGAATACCAGGAAATTTTACTCTTTTTTCATGCCACATTGTTAAGATGGTAATTAGAATTTTAAATTTATAAAGTTGATCTATTATAGAGAAAATTTATACCAAAAAGAATGTAATTTGCATTTCAGAGTACTGAAAGCATCAAAGTTCTATACATACCAGAATTATTTCAGGTTTGCCATTATTTTATGAGTTCTCTGTTTATAAATGGCTTTATAGATTTGAATTTAAACTATCACATTAGAGGACATTTATTTAAAGTGTGGTCTAATATAGAGTAACTTTCTGAGAGAAAAGTACTTAAACAGGTTTAGCATTTTGTTGTATTGGAAAAGTATACCCTAAATATGAATGAATTATTCATAAGCCAAAGAAAGTGCTAATATAGAATGAAAAGTATTATGTTTTTAAGTTTTGGGGGTTATAAGAAACACTTAGAGCCCAGCGCGGTGCCTCACACCTTTAATTGCAGCACTTTGGTGGCCCAGGCGGGCGAATCACCCGAGGTCAGGAGTTCGAGACCAGCCTGGCTAACATGGTGAAATCCCTTCTCTACTAAAATTATAAAAATTAGCCTGGCGTTGTTGCGGACAACTGTAATTCCAGCTACTCAAGAGGCTAAGGCAGGAGAATCGCTTGAACCCGAGAGGCAGAGGTTGCAGTGAGCCGAGATTGTGCCACTGTACTCCAGGCTGGGTGACAGAGCAAGACTCCGTCTCCAAAAAAAAAAAAAAAAAGAAACAATGTTGTTCCGTCTCAAGAAAGGAAGGAAGGAAAGAAAGAAGGAAGGAGAAAGAAGGAGAAAGAAAGAAAGAAAGAAAGAAAGAAAGAAAGAAAGAAAGAAAGAAAGAAAGAAAGAAAGAAAGAAAGAAAGAGAAAGAAAGAAAGAAAGAAAGAAAGAAAGAAAGAAAGAAAGAAAGAAAGAAAGAAAGAAAGAGAAGGAAGGAACGAAGGAAAGAAGAAAAGAAAGAAAGAAAAGAAAAGAAAGAAAGAAACAATGTTGTTCCAAAAATGTTACCTAGAAGTGTGTGTGTGTGTGTGTGTGTGTGTGTGTGTGTGTGTGTGTGTGTGTGTGATTTTATTTTATTTTTTTTTTTGAGACGGAGTCTCGCTCTGTCGCCGAGGCTGGAGTGCGGAGGCGCGGTCTCGGCTCACTGCAATCTCCACCTCCCGGGTTCACCGCATTCTCCTGCCTCAGCCTCCTGAGTAGCTGGGACTACAGGCGCCCGCCACCACGCCCGGCTAATTTTTTGTATTTTTAGTAGAGACGGGGTTTCACCGTGTTAGCCAGGATGGTCTCAATCTCCTGACCTCATGATCCGCCCACCTCGGCCTCCCCAAGTGCTGGGATTACAGGCGTGAGCCACCGTGCCAGGATGAAGTGTTTTTTTTTTTTAATTTATGAAAAAGATGCTACAGACCCTAATTGAGTCTGAAAAGATTAACTTTTCTTTGCAGGAGTATCAGTAATATGACACAATTATATGTCATAAAAGTACAAAACTAAAAAGAATTTATGTAATTCATAAAAATGTAAAAAAATACTTGGTGTGAGTGTATTATTTTCTATACTTTTGGAAGTTTTTTTTTTTCTCCACTTTGGTTTTAGTATGTTAAAATAATCATATAAATGCTGGATTATGTATAAATATATTACAAGTACATATACATGTCTTCATATATGTTTTTGACATGTCAAATAGATGAATATTATTTTACTGTAATGTTAATGAATGCATTTTACTATTCATAATTTAAAGGACTGAATATCATTCAATCACGTGAATATTTTAAACATTTTTTACATTTTGTTTTAAATTTTCTC
The DNA here is from genome assembly GCF_000001405.40 of Homo sapiens. Lineage (NCBI taxonomy): Eukaryota > Metazoa > Chordata > Mammalia > Primates > Hominidae > Homo > Homo sapiens. Next base: position 90,933,934 of record NC_000004.12, read on the forward strand.
CTACTAAATAATAACAATGGCACATATCCTTTAGAAGAGAATTTTGAAAACTCTAATATAATTAAAGTCTTATCCTACACCTAGCAATGGTATCTCTAGAAGTTTAACCTGAACATACACTTTCATATGTACCAAATAATATTTTCATAAGGTTTTCTTTATGATCATTTTTTGTAACAGTTAAAGAAGAAAAACAACACAAATAACAATAGGAGGCTATTTGATAATGGCTCATTATCAAATGAGTTACAGTATAAGGACAAAGACAAATGCAAAAAACATCTAAAACTTCAATCAGAAACAAAATTATATTACTATTTTTATAATAATTGTGACGTTATTTGTGTGTTATAACATTTAACAACCAAATCTAATGTTTCTAGCATCCAAGTTATTTCAGGATAAGAGAAAATAAACATAACTATGAAAATACAAGTTAAAGGAAAGAACCTGATAATGTTATATTCAAATGTAAAGTGTCAACATGAACTTATTATTTGCTAATTGAAGAATATTTTCTTCTTTTGCCCCTGAAAAAGTATAAACCTTTCAAGCTTATAGGCTTAACTTTCAGTAGTCAGGAAACAGGAAGTAGGTGGATAAGTTAAACAATACCATGAATCAAAAATCAGACAAAATCCAAATGGGCAGTATTCTACAAGACACCTCATGGTATCCCTAAAAAAGAAGATGCTATTAAAAATTGGGGGACTATCTGCTGGGCATGGTGGCTCATGCCTGTAATCCCAGCACTTTGGGAGGCCAAGGCGGGTGGATCAGGTGAGGTTGGGAGTTCGAGACCAGCCTGACCAACGTGGAGAAACCCTGTCTCTACTAATAATACAAAATTAGCTGGACATGGTGGCACATGCCTGTAATCCCAGCAACTCAGGAGACTGAGGCAAGAGAATCGCTTGAACCCGGGAGGCAGAGGTTGCAGTGAGCCTAGATTGTGCCATTGCAGTCCAGCCTGGGCAACAAGAGTGAAACTCCATCACACACACACACGCACACACACAGACACACACAAAATAGGGGACTGTCTTGATTAAGGAAACTAAACAGACATAACGACATATGAAATGCATATATATATGTATATATGTGTGTGTGTATATATATTATATATATATGATGAATAACTAGAGAGAGGGAGAGAGGACCAAAAGCAGCTATGGCAACTCTTAATTACTGAATCTAGGTGCTATGATTTCAATGTTCATTGCCTCCAACTCTCATGCTGAAATTTGATTCCCAATTGGAGATGGGGTTTAATGGGAGAATGGGGGGTGTTTGGATCATGAGAGAGATCTTTCATTAATAGATTAATGCCCACCCTGGGGGTGAGTGAGTTCTCACTCTATGAGTTCCTGAGAGAGCAGTCACCTCCCTGCTGTCTCTCCTGCTTCCTCTCGGGTAGTGAGTGTCCTGTCTGCACGTACCGGCTCCCCTTCCATTTTTGCCACAAGTGGAAGTAGGTTGAGACTTTCACCAGATGCCCAATCTTACAGCTTGCATAATCCTGAGCCAAATAAACCTTTTTTAAAAATAAATAAACTACCCAGTCTCAGGTGTTAGAGCAATGCAAAATGGACTAAGATATGAGGTGAAGGCTACACAGGTGTTAATACTACAAGTCTGTTTTTCTGTATCTTAAAAGTTTTCTCAATAAAGGGAATGGTTTCCCAACTTAAAAATATGCAAAAATATTTAAATGGCATTATAGTAAGATGTAATATATGGCCAGGACTAAATTGGGTTGGGAAGTCCAGCAGTAACATGTATTTGAGGGACATCTGAAGAAATTTGAACAAGGATTGCTATTAGATGTAATGAAAACTTATTTACATGAACAGTTTAGAGGTTACTACTGGGGAAAAAAAGGCAAGTAAAGTGAAAAACACAATGTACTATGTGGTTCTCTTTTTAGTTAAAAAAAATAAGTGCAAATGAATCCAGAAAGCTTGGTATAGTGATGATCTCTGGTTTGTAGGAATGTACCATTTTATTTCCTTATTTTTGTTTATCTCTTTTTGTCACTTTTTGCAATGAACATATGTATTTTTATAATAATAAAATATACTTTCAAAGTAGAAATATATTATTTAAAAAAGAAAGCTCATCACTGCTAACATGAATATGAAATTATTTGCGCAATGTATTTACTTTCTATTCAAATCTACTTTCTTACAAAATAAAATAACTTGGAAAATTTTGTGGAAACAGAATTTAATGACAATTTTGTTTCTAAAATGTAATTATTAAAAATAAATGTTAAATATTGTAGAATTTTTCTTTCTAATTTGACAATATATTGAATGCATTATACCTTAAAGCCCAAGAAGATTAACCTATTTTGTAACTGATTTTCCTAGTTTATAATATCCCCAGAGTGGTAAATCATAAAAAAGAATCTTTCAAATTATTATTTTCACTACAATGTAGTCACAGGAAGCCATTTGTTCTCATTAGGTGAACTTTACTATTTCCTTGCAGTTGTCTTCATGTTCTACTTGCTTAAAATGACACAGATGGATTAAGTTTTTTTTGTCCACTTCACATCACAAATACTAAAGTATTAAAACTTTTATGGAAAGAGAAATGTTAGTATCATATATTTTCATTACATGTGTGTCTCTGAACATATTCAGGCTATTATGGTATTTTTCCCTTCATTTTACTATTTTAAAATTAAAAAGTGGATCTGGGTTAGACTTTCATTAAGTATATGAATGTTGGGAACCTTAAAATACACAGAAAAACAGAATTCCAGATTTCTAAAATGTATAATATAACATATAAAATATATTCTCTCTGTCTTTCACATTCACTCAACTAGTATTTGTGTAATAAATACTGAATGGCAGGCATCTTCTTAATGTTTAATTCTTAGTCTTAAAGATTTTGCAGACCTTTTTTAAAGAAAATGGTTAGTAATAACGTATCTGCATCTGTGTGTAACATACAGTTATAGTCCTGGTGTTCCTTTTATTACCTCTATTCATTTATAAAGTTATGTAAAAGAAAAAAAAAGAGTAAGAGATATTCCAGACACTGAGATTGTAGCAGTGAACACCAAGCATACACAACCAGACAAGTTTTTTTGTCTTCATAAACCTCATATTCTAGTCAATGAAGACAGGCAGTAAACTAAAAACCAAAGAAGTAAAAAAGAGAATTTCACACCGTATTAAGGGCATAAAGGAGATAAACAGAAAGATGACATTAAGAGAAACCACGTGAAGGGAAGGAGCTACTGTGTAGAAAAGAGCCATCAGGGAAGATGGTTCTGCCAATGTTGCATTTGAGCTGGAACTCGAGTGATGGGTCACTGTTCACAGAACCAGAACAAGCATGGTGACAGGGAAAATCATACTACCAAGAACATTCAACTCTCAATCCTGCTGAGTGCTTCAGGATTTCCTCATATTGCTTTTGGTCTTGTCATGTTACACATTCTAATCTATATAACACACAGATAAATTTGCCGAAAATAAAAAATAAATGCAAACACACAGCTTACGTCGTGTTGTATTTCTAATTTGAAACACACACACACACACACACACAAACACACACACACTGAATGGCTCAATAAGGCATATAGGGTAGAATCCACACTCCCCAAGCCAGCATCCATGGCTGCTAAAATTGTACCCTCCCCTATTTATGCAATTAGAACACCTACTGTTTTCAAACTAAAACCTTTTATTCCATCAACACTGATTCATTACAAACTGTTAATCATTTTCTAAGTTTTTAGGTTTCATTTTGGTTTCTTTTTAACCATTTCATCTGGAATACCTCTGCCCCACAATATATCTGTATTTTAAGCCAAGCTCCAATTTCATATCCTTGATTGGACAACGCAAACAAGGAGTGATTTCTCTTTCTGTAGAACTCCCTCAGCAGTTATCAGTTCTATTTAACCTACCTTTACAGTTACCAGTCCTATATAATGTTGCCAGTTTCCTATATTAACATGTATCTGTCCTATTGATTATAACTTACCATCTTTGTAGTATGGCTCATCCTTTCATATATTCATTTATATCACTCTAACTAAACTTTTACATTCCTGGGAGCAGATATCATATTCTATGCTTCTTGCAAATTATACTTCTTTTCATATATATTACCAGCACAAAATGAAGTCTCTTTTTGTAAAAAGGGTGACATATTTTGAAATGTCTTGTATTTCTTATTACTTAAAATTGCAATAAAGTTTAGAGACTAAAATATAATAATAAGATAATAATTGTTGCAGATTAGCAAAATTCTGTTGAAACTTTGTGTTTATTTAGTACTTTGGATGGTGACTACGGGTTGCAAAAATACTAGGACAGCCACGTGAGACTTATGTAGTGCTTAATTATTTAATTTTCTTGCAGTTTTCTTTAAGATGGAAGAATACATAAAGAAAAAAAGTTTATTAGAACTTGTTTTTGTACTCTAATTATAAAACCAAGGGAATGAAAATATTTGCTAATTAATCTTCCCTCTTTAATCTCATGTTTGGTAATAGAGCATGTTTAATTGGAAGTTGGGAGCCTATAAGCATTACTAATATATTTGTTATAAATGTTAAGAGCAATTTTTGATTGAGAAAATCATAAATAGAACCGTTTTATGTTGGTCTGTGTTTGTTAAAAGTGTGTGAACATTTAAAATATTCATATTAAGTAAAATTTCATTTTATTTTATTGATTTCATTCATTTCTTTTTGTTTTCTTCTTTTCAAGGCCCTGTGGAATCCTACATGCACTGAAGGTTTATTTAAACCAGTACTTATTTCAACTTAGGTTAAATCATTATCTGACAATAAGAAATGCATCACTAATCTGTGACATGTAAAATATTGAGTAAAATCAATTTTTTCATCATTTCATATTTTAAGTATGTAATATAGAAAAATTTTCAGTTCAATTACTTCACAATTTTTGCATTTGCAAAAATCATATAAAATATTGATGAATTAAGATTCAACTAACATATTTCTGCTTTATTCTCATTGTATTTTTAAAACAAAAATAGATTTTGTTTAAAAAATTCTTTCTATATGTAAATATTCTAAAATGTAATATTCCACTTGGCACTAAGTATTTTTGTTCACTCTTCTCATCCATGTCATTGGTCTCCCTTGTTATAGTCTTAATTTAATTTCATCACATATTCTTTGTAGATTAGATCAGTTTGAAAACAATGCCTTTAGTGTCTTCCATCTTAGTAGGACATTTCCTACTGAAGAACAAAATTATCTACAGTCTTTTTTCCCTCGCATCAAGACCAAAATATGAAAGCAGTATGTCTTTAATTAGAATAAATAATGAAGAGTCTTACTCTAACTACAGAAAATATAACACCTGTTTAGATTCCTAAATAGTTGAAGATGGTTTATTGGAAATTAACCTCATATTAAAGGGAGTCTCCTGAATGTATCCTAAAAGGATATCTGTGGCCTGGACTTGAATTGCTTCCTGATTTCTGTGTGTCTCTGTCTGTTGCCTTTGCATAACAGGTCACTTTAATTATCAAGTGACCCGGTGGCTACAAGGCACTCATGAATGTTGCAGTTTACTGCAAGGATAGGTGACAGAGATAGACAGCCCAAAAGAATGGCTCAATGTTGTGGTCAGGGTTCAGGGCAATAGAAATGCCATAGAGCCAAGAAGAAGAAAGCAGGTTTTACTGAGAGTTCTACCTGTTGGGCAAACAGACAAGGAAGTAATCATGGTTAATGGTGGTAACCTTTATAAATATGTTATAAAATTAATTAAATTATTTCAATCATTATGTAACATGTATTATGAATCATAAATGCTGGGTGCAAAACATGGTATTAAAATAAAAACTATAAATATATTTATTTACACAAAATGGTGTATTTGCCCTTGTTGATTTTGCCTCTTAAAACACCCTCCGTGATCTAAAATACAAAAACATTTTTTGTTTTTCTAACAGTTTTCTAGAGTTCCTTCTTTATCCTATTCTTATCTCTTTCTTTTTATTGTCTTATTTTATACTTAAAACCTTTAAATGTAGATAATGCAAAACTCCATCCCCTTAAATTAAAGCACTCCCCTGATAAAGGTTTTTATCTACATGAATGGTCAATACTGTATTATCTTGAAGAAGCAAGAATTCAATTGAAGATCTTTTACCAGGCTACCAAGACAAAATAATTTGTATTAGCAACTGAAGTAAGTCAATAAAGAAAGGTACATTTTTTCCTCAAAAGCAATTTAGCAGAAGCTTTAACTGCAGACAAGAAAAGGTCACCTAACTAGGTACAATTTTATGATTTCTTTTTAATACCAGCAAAACATTATTTTTCTTCCCTCCCTCCCTTCCTCCCTTCCTTCCTTCTTTCCTTCCTTCCTTATCCCTCCCTTCTCCTCCTTTCTCCTTTTATTCTTTCCTTGTAATTGAATCAATTCTAAATATACATCAGTAAACATGTTTACATATCAATAATTTTATTTTCAAGGGGAAATATTTTCAGACTTTCTCACAGTGTTCATTATATAATTTGTCCATTAGACTCTTAAAGTGTTTTATAAATATTTATTTGATTACATTAAAAGTGAAATTAAAATAGGGATTAACGGGGATGTTGTTTTTGTTTTTAGAAAAATGCGTGAGAACTGTTGTAATTTTTGTGCTATATTCCAACGTGTAAAAAAATTATGGTTGATAATTATTTCCCAAAAGGGGGACAAGAGACATCAGTATTTATTGATCAAAGGAACATTATTTTCTGCTGTTATGCCAGCATGTTTGTCCAAAATGTTCTCACAGTTATTAATTCAAAATATAAGATTGAGCAAACTTGTCGTCATCTTTCAAATAAAGAAACTAAAATTTGAAGAAGTCGAGTAACTTTCTCAAATTCATATAGCTTTTCTAACAAAAGACAAAGACATAGATTGTTCTCATATGCCCCAGACCAAAAGTCAGGGTTTTGTTTTGTTTTCCTGATTCCAAAATGCTGGTGGGTTGTAGAATAGCAGAATTAAATGTGATGTATGCATTGATTACATATGCACATATATAATTGTGTATTATGTATACATAATATTACTAAGCTTGAATTTTCAAGTACTCTTTATGAACTAGGGATAATTGCAATGGTAAACACTTACTATGTGAATGCTACCTACTATGCCTAAGGTGTGAAATGTATGAGTTAAGGGAATTATTTTATAAGAGTGAGAATTATTTATACAAATATAGAGAAATGCATGGAAGGAAAGCCATGGACCCTTTTGCTAGGTACTTCAATGACTATGAACATATTTTATTTATGTTTTAAATCATTCTGACAATTTAATTTGAATCACCAAGTTTTAGAATGTAGGCACTTATCATTGTCTGTTAAGTTTATTACATATAGCTATGTTTTAAATGATTTTTTAATGAAGACCCTAAAGTAATATGTTATTATATGTAGATGTTACTATATGATATACATATGATTTTATTGTGACACACATAAAAACTTCCTTGCTGAAGTTATCCAAATTGTATCATTTTCCTTAGTTACCTAAATTTAATATTGTTTTAAATATTTATTTCTTTATAAAACAAAATGCAATTTCTTTTTCATATTTAACTTGCAACTAGAAGTAGAAATGTCCAAATTAACAAGGAGATGCTTTTCAGGTTGTATTTTGAGCTTACTTCTCCTTATAGTACTCTCCAAATACAGTTATATACTATTTTCAATTTTTAATATATAATCACTCTCTCTAAAACAAATCTCTGTCTTGTTGGTGATTTTTTAGGTAATCACCAATATTATATGCTGGCACCTTGAAAAACAAACAGTAACACTAACTCATTTTCAAACACATCAGTTTCATTTGCTATATTTACTTGAAACAAGTCTACATGTCAATGAATAGATCGATGTATATATCCCTCATTGGGGGAAAGACAAGCTATTCTTTCTTGGTGTTAATAAGCATTAAGAGTTGTTAGAATATCCTGTCTTCTATTTTTTTTTCGTTTGTTTGTTTTGTTTTGTTTTTTTTGAGACAAGTTCTGGCTCTCTCTCCCAGGCTGCAGTGCAAGTGGTGCGATCTTGACCCTGCAACGTCTGCCTCTCGGGCTCAAGCCATCCTCTGACCTCAGCCTTCCAAGTAGCTGGGACTAGAGGCACACACCATCATACTCAGCTCATTTTTTTGTATTTTTTGTAGAGATGGGGTTTCACCATGTTGCCCAGGCTGGTCTTAAACTTGTGAGCTCAAGCGATCCACCCACCACCTCGGTCTCCCAAAGTGCTGGGATTACAGGTGTGAGCCACTACGCCCAGCTGGGAAATATCCTGTCTTTTAAATGACATCTTTTGGTATCTGAATTTGCATAATGGAGAAGATTATGATAGGCTATAAAATGGGGGGAAGAAAAAATATGTAAGCATATTATTTTATCTCTTACACCAAATCGTACTTTTTGAATCTATGCATTGGTGTGCTCTTGCCTCTCTTGTGTGAAGCCTTTTTTAAAATTATTTTTCTATTTTCCTCTTTGATTTTTGTATGGGGATACACATACAAGAAATTGATGAACAAAAGTCTCAAATGATAATAAAATATTTTCTGGCTACTTTCTTACTATCTGAAAGCTGTTTGCCTCCTTAATTTGTAAACTTGTGGTCACGTTATATATGGGCACACACACACTTTTATGGGAAATGAGGGTTTCCTCATTTAAAAGCTATCTTTGTTAAAAAAAAGAAAGAAACTTGATACAGAGGAGAAAATATGTAGGTAGCATAAGTATTCTTTGGGAAGAAATAAAAATGGCAGGTGAATGCTAATTTTATCCTGATGGAGAAAAGCAATTATTGCAGCAGGGGTAAAAAGATTGCTTCTTCCCTCTAAGATATAGTTTAGATTTTTTAACTTACCTAAAAAAATTATATATATTTAATTAAATATGTATGATATATAGAATTAAATATATATTATATATAAAATGTATATATTATATAATTTTTAAATTATTTTTCATATATATATATATATTAAAGGAAGTATTCCCTCACCCCTGTAAGGAAGAATAAGCAGTAACTGAAACTTTGATGAACAGCCTGGAAGGTATATGTGCTAATAAATTTTGAATATAATGGTCGGGGAGAGTGAATGAACCTCATGCCTTCATGCTCAGGCTCTTCAGAAAACTTTCTTCCTAATGAGGCTGGCAAGATTTCTGACCTGAGAAGAAATTTCTGTGTACATTTTCACTAAAGATAACAACAGTAAGCTTGAAAGAACAAGTAACTTTGGCAAGAAATATGCTACACAGATTTTAATTTTGTTTACCTCGTGGTTCATATATTCCTTAAAAAGTTATTGTGTTCATATAGATTTAGGGTTCAATTTATATTTCTAGTACAATTTTTATAGAACGTTATTTTGTGAGTTATCCATTTTGAGATAGTGATCATCTTACAGCCTTTCGGTTGTAGCTACATGAATTTTAAGAATAAGATCCTGAAAAGTAATGACTAACCTCTTGAAAACTACCTGATCCATTTCAGTAATGCCTATGCAACATGAGTAAAACTTTACGCAATATACTAATAAACATGTACTCTAAAAGGGAGAGAGACAGGAGGCGGAGACAGAAAGAGAGAGAGAGAAAGAGGTTCTTGTTCTATCACCCAGGCTGGAGTGCAGTGGTGCGATCATGGCTCACTGCAGCCTCAACCTCCTGGGCTCAAGCAATCCTCCTGCCTCAGCCTCCCGAGTAGCTGGGACTACAAACATGAGCCACTGTGCCAGGCTAATTTTTTTTTTTTTTTTTTTTTTTTTTTTTGGAGATGGGGTCTCACTATGTTGCCTAGGCTGGTCTCAAACTACTGGCCTCAAAACATCTGCCTGCCTCAGTCTCCCAAAGTGCTGGGATTACAGGCATGAGCCACTGCCCCCAGCCTGTTACTTTTGTATCGGAAGGTAAACTTTAGAAAACAAGTAAGCAATTTGTATTGATTTAAAAAGTGAAAAATATCAGGCCGGCGTTGTGGCTCACGCCTGTAATCCCAGCACTTTGGGAGGCCGAGGTGGGCGGATTGCCTGAGCTCAGGAGTTTGCAACCAGCCTGGGCAAAACGGTGAAACCCCGTCGCTACTAAAATACAAAACATGAGCTGGGCGAGCGGCTTGAGCCTGCAATCCCAGCTACTCGGGAGGCTGAGGCAGAGAATTGCTTGAACCCCGGAAGCGGAGGTTGCAGTGAGCTGAGATGACGCCACTGCACTCCAGCCTGGGTGACAGAGCGAGACTCCGCCTCAAAAAAAAAAAAAAAAATTGAAAAATACCTAGTAGAATGCTATGTATCCATTGGAAATTTATTGTTGGTTATTAATGAAAAAAATCAATGGTGAGCTAATACAAAAGACCGCATTGTCAAATTAGACTCATACCAATCAGATATCTTACCCCAATATCAAGGCTTATTATTCATTTCACTTAAGGAACATATTATTCATGACACTTAAGGAACTCAGATGAAGCAGGAACAGGTCTGGGGTGTGGAAGGCAGCTCTCCAAGGTCTTTCATTCGACATTGAACATCCACTTTGAGATCCACAGTCATAGCTCAGATCTTTAGGAGAAGTTTTTTGGAATTACCTCACACAGCAGAGAGAGTGTTTCATTCATGAAATATCTCTATTTTATATCCCAACATTGTGGCATTTTCCAGAGTGCCATGCTCATAAATCCATAAATTCTAAGTTCATTTAGTCAAATAAGTCCTTAACCTGGGACATGCTGTTAACATTTCCATATGTAAGGACCCTCCTTCTACCAAATACTATTAGTCTATTGACCTGCAGGACTAATTTTCTTGTTGACAGAGATTAGAAGTTACCTGTTTTCTTTCTCGTGAAGACAAATCAGTTGCTATAACTCCTTCTTCCCCACCTGCTCTGTCTCCACCATTCACTCTGAGCATGATATACACCATTGACATGAATGGTAAATCATGTCTTGGATTTTTCATGTCTCTATTATTGTGAAGAAAATGCTTTATAGAAAATGTTTATCTGATCGAGACCACAGTTATTTTGGTTTCTCTTCCGTGTTTTGAATGTTTTAAAACAAGTTGAAGTGAGAGATAGGAGAGATTGCTTTTCTTGATGATTATCTTTATGTTTCCCTTCATTTTTTCACTTTCAGCAAACTCAGAAATTTTGAAGGACAAAGAATTTAGTGATTTAACTAGGAAAAAAACTAATATTCAGTTTTTTTTCTGGATGTGTGTCATAATATACTACAAAAAGAGAAGAGCCAATAATTTAAATTTATATATCATATTTTAAATTAGAGGTATTTTTTAAAATTATTTTTTCATTTGCTATTTATGCAGAATTAGCCCTGATAGAATAATAACACATTCAGCTAAATGGAATGGATCATGTTCCTTCTTTATTATGTCTTTCTTTCAGTTATACTATAGACTTCATTACATATTTTATTGAATATAATTGCCTTTCTCAAAATACTTCAGATGTTGTTTTATTTAATGAGTTATAAAATCTGTGTTGTTTTATAGTCCATTTTCTTTTACTTGGTGTGTATCAGAAATACATGACAATTCCCATAAGAGAAAACACATAAGAAAACCCGAATACAATATTTGCAGCCTGATTTCTCTGTTCTCCTGCTTTTCCACAAACAGACTGTGTTATTTCTACCCTCAAGTCTCAGCACCTTTAGTGCCCGAACCGCTAATGCTATTTCTTCTCGCTTAGCTTGTTTGTATGAAAAGAAAACCAAGTTCCATATGCTTCTCCCTACCCCAATATATTTCATAACTTCTCCAGGCATCATTGAACTCTATCTTCTCTAAATCACTCTACAGTTCAATAATGGCTAACATTTTTTTTTAATCTATGTCAGGGGTTGTTCTAAAAGTTTTACATATTTTAAATATTTTGATCCTCACGAAAGCTATAAAGTAATTACTCTATATGATTTCCTTTTACAAGAAAGAAAACTGAAATATAGAGGAGTTAAGTAACTTGCTCACAATTACATGACTAGTATTATTAGCAATCAAGTATTCTGCTCAATAGGGAAATATCACATATACATCACATTGGTATGCCACTTTTCAAAAAATAAACTAAAATTTTAATAAGATAACTTTTTGCCTTTGATTTTTATAATTACAATTAAGAGTGACACTAATAATTATAATGATTGATATAATGCTAATTTTATAAGCATGAGCAAATACAAGATACTTTAATTTTAAGTCCTCGAAGAGAATAATGACTAATATTTATTAGGTGCTGCTGTGACAATGTTCTAAGTGCTTTATTATGTATATTGACTTATGTAATCTTAAAAACAACAGCAAACTCAAGAAAGATTGTAATATTATTCTCAATTTATGGAGGAGGCTGGGTGCGGTGGCCCATGCCTGTAATCCCAACACTTTGGGAGGCTGAGGTGGGTGTATCACTCGAGATTAGGAGTTCGAGACCGGCCTGGCCAACGTGGTGAAAACTTGTCTCTACTAAAAATACGAAAATTAGCCAGGCGTGGTTCCAGGCGCCTCTAATCCCAACTATTCTGGAGGCGGAGGTAGGAGACTCTGTTGAACCTGGGAGACTGAGGTTACAGTGAGCCTAGATCATGCCACTGCACTCCAGCCTGGAGGCAAGACTGCACCTCAAAAAAAAAAAAAAAAGAGATTATAGAGGAGTAAATTATGACCTAGAAAGGTAACATGAAATTCTTAAGGCTGTTCATGTCAAACAAATGGTGACATAACTAGAATGTAAATATAAGCAGTCTTGATTTCAGATTTTAACACCCTTTACCACTATACTGTATCCAAACCTCACCCATAGCACAGAATAAACTATATCCATTATCAGTCAGAGTAAGCTAGATGGCACTGGAGAAACAACAATTCCCAAATATTAGAAGTGACTCATAACATCAAATATTGATTTCTTGCTTGTGCTATGTATCTATTGCTGTTCAGCAAGCAACGCTTCTCCAGGCTCCCTCACTCTAAGACTCAGACTGGTGGAACAATCCTCCTCTGTTATGTTGCAGTCTCAGCGGGAAAGAGAAGAATGTCTTAGATTGTACAACAGATCTTAAATTTCCACCCAGAAGTGACATATAATACTTCTACTCATATTTCATTGATCAAAACATAGCAAGTCACATGATCACAGGTAACTCACTCCAGGGAGCAAGGAGGAGCAAATCAACATATGCCTACAAGTGGGGAAATGAAGTTTAACCAGCAAACAGCACTAATGCCTACTATTTTATCTGTTTTTCCATGGATTAATCTGGTCTTAATGAAAATATGGAAAGTATCATTTGGTAAATATGCTATGTTACTGACACGAAATATCTTGGATTCCATCATGTTTTTCAGAAAAATGTAATTAAATTTTTTAACCTGTAATTGAATATTTCTCCTTAATATATCACATGTACATAAAGCTATCTCAATTTTTAACATATGACATAAACATTATTTACACCATATTCTCCAGCTATGTTTCAGCAGCTCAACTAGATTTTTCAAATATTTCAACATTTTAAAAAATATTTCTACTTGCAATCAATGCATTATCTACTGAATTGCCTGGAACTTGTTGATATTACCACAGTCCTATTCCAGCTTATTTTAACTATTAAAACAGTCATACTTGCTGATATATAATCTAAGCATTATTATACTTGTCAGAATTAATTCACAATGACAGTGTTATTTCAACAACACTTTTTAGTCATTTATCTCCTTACAACCTATCATGAAGCACATTTTTTCCTTTGCAAGTATCTCTAGAGACTGTAAGTGACAAGTATAATATCTTAAATGTGTGAACAAAAATGACTTTCCTGTTCCCAAACAATATGCTTTGCTTGATCCAGAAATAGATAATTTGCATCAACTGAAAAAATAGGTATCATGTAATTTTTTCTCTGTGCTAACTTAATGGTAAACCTTCCCATAGCATCTCCTAAATCATGTGTTGTATTTTCAACCTTTAAGATATAAAAATATGACCACCTTTAATTCCCACATTACCCAATTTACATTTGTACTTAATTAGAAAATTGTCTACTGTAATTTTAGTTCATAAACAAAGTAAACTGCATCTTTCTGCCCTTTTTTCAGTGTTGAGTGTAAAGTGAAATCCTTGGTACTATTTTTTTTTCCAGTCTGTAATTAATTTGCGAATTCCTACTATAGTAATTGATTCAAATGGTTTTCATTGTACAACAATAGTTAGGTAAACATTCATTATATCAAGATGGTGGTTAGCATTACCCAAAATCTGTTGTTTTACTTTAACTATAATCCAAATATAAATGTAAATATAAATAAATATATATATGAAATTAGTGTCTTCACTTTTCAGGCAATCTTTTCCAATTCATTTTCAGGATTTAAAAAATAATTATTGAAGCTGGAAGAGAACATTAATCAGAGTTTTAGAGATACATATTTTCTTGTTCTCAATTTTTTTCGTTTATTCTTTTTCTATATTTACAACACATAGGATGAAAACAAAGATTTATAAATACGAGAAGTATTATGAGGCCATGTTTTATTGTCACAATTTAAAATCTTGTCAATAGAATTTTTAAATTAATACACAGATTATGAGAATATATCAATTCTCACTGTTTGGCAATAATTTTCTAAGTTTTGTAGATTCTGAAATTTTAAGCATTTATATGCATCATAAAATTGCATATTTACATGCATTCTTATGCTTTGTAAAAAATAGAATTAGGTAAAATATCAGACTATTAAGTTCAGCATAATTTTATTTCTCAGTCAGACTTCTCTAGGAATTCATGATTCACATGAATTCACATGATTTTTTGTTTAATTATTTATTCAAGAAATGTTTACTAAAAACTTACAGTGTGTTGGGTCCTTAGGCTATGAACCATATAATACCACGTACTGACCAACCACAGATGAATAGAGTCTAGCAGGATATGTAGGCATAATCACAATACTTTTTAATGTTATTATAATTAGCGTAACAAGAATATGTCTGACGTGGAATGTGATAATTTTATGAGCATAATGTATTTTACCACAATTAGAGATCACCTTTCAACTTATTAAATTTTAGGATTATCTTATAAATTTGTATAGAGAAAGAGATGCTAACATATTTAGTACCTCATGAGTATCAGACACAGACCTACTTGGTGCTTTTTGATATGTTCTGTTTACTCTTCTGCTTCCTTTTATTAATTTTTGTATGAAAAAGACACATTTGATGTCTGTTTATGTGAGCAATCTGCTGCATAGCAACCCAATTTAATCTTTTCGGTTCCATCAAATATTTAAGAATTTCTTTACCCTTAAGAAGAATAAAACCATAATAGAGTAGATGATATAAAAACACATAACAAAATAAATACCTAACTTGCAAGAATATTATAATATCAGACTGGTAAAACATATTAAACTGCTAAAAAAAATCAGAACATAATACGGTAAATAGGAGTGTGTAGGGTGTGTCACAATGATTTTGTTGTCACTACAGTGAGTCAGGGGGCAACACCATCTAAGAATTCATTTGTTAACTAAATTCCCAACTGGAGTTATAGGTTTTGTTTTCATGTGATATATGAGGAAAACGAATCATTACAATGCAAGTAAAATAAGTGCCATGTCCTTCATGCATTCATTCATTTGACAAACTATGTACTGAGCAACTGTTTTGTGCCAGGTATTTCTGTTGTTGTTGGGCATACACAGTAGGCAAAATAACTATTATTCCTAACCTATGGCATTTACATCTCATTTAATAGCCATAATGATTCTAAGTAGCAGACTCTAGAATTATCCCTACTGTACTGATGAACATATAGAGCATTTATATCTCATTTAATACCCATGATGACTCTAAGTAGCAGACTCTAGAATTATCCCTACTGTACGGATGAACATATAGAGGCCTAAAAAGGATAAAAAACTTGCCTGCTGTCACAATAAGTGCTATGTGTCCCTTACGTTAGTCTGACAATAAAGACTAAGCCCTCTGCTATCATACCACACCCCTCCACCAGGTATGGTGATAGGAGTGATTATCTGTATCTGAAAAGTGCAAAAAGGGAGGAATGCTTTTGTTACATTGCCAGGCAAATGAGGATGGAGATGTGCAAGAAGAACCACAGTTAGCTAACCTGGACTACCTGCTAAATCCCAATTAAAACAACATGTTAATAAAAAGAGAAAGTAAAATTAAAAAGTCAATAGACATCCTTGGTAACATTTTCATGGCTATATGTTATAGATATCTGTAAAAAAATTAATGAGTTTGATTTTTATTTGATCATATAGCTTCTACATTTCTGAGCCATTACACTGAGGTCTTTTAATTTTTTTTCCCTGAGACTAAATAAACGTGATGGAAACTGAGATATATTTTTATTACTGAGTACGTCTGCTGTTGAAGACCTGAATAAACAAAGAACAAAACTGAATTATGGTGCTGCAGCCTAATATCATCACCTACTAATCAAATATAGAAACTCTTAAAACAAAACATACACATACACACACACGTGCACGCGTGCACACACACACATACACACACGTTGAATTCCCACAGCTCTAGCTGTCTGATTCAGAAAGAGAGAAAGGAAGTCATCTCTGTTTTTGGTACAGGCTTTTGTGTAACTATAGAGCCAAGAGGCATACAGTGATAACCTTTTTAACAAGCATATATGGCCATTAAAAACAGCAGGGTTTCAGCCTGGTTATCTTGGGTATAGAGATAACCACTTTTGCTGACTCCAGGGTATTCTTGAAAACAATACGATTGTACTGTGGAGTCTGTATTTGTTTATCCTACATGTAATTGGAGCAGAGCTAACATGCTATTCCCGTGCTCTCTTTTGTCCCATACTTTTAGAGACCTATATGTTACATTTCTAAGTTTCATAAATATCTTTAGCATAGCTAATCACAAACTAGTGTGATATCTTTTATCATTGATTTTCACTGAAAAATTGTTTATTGGGCACTAGGTGCCTGGTATATGCACTTTTATAAGCAAAGTTAAAGGGAGTATTAGCCTAGAAATTTTACTTAGCATTGGTAGAGATTAGGAGAATAAATAAAATTTATCTCACTAACAAATACCTCTGTATGATTTCTCAGGAGCGTTAACGTCATGAATCCTGTGGCTCACCACTTCATGTCTGAAGGTTAGTGAGCCAATGACTCATCCCTCAAGGCTCTGGATTTGTTTACTTATTTAGCAAGGTATAGCAGAAAATGACAGCATGCCCTTAACACAAAGCTTTTCCTCTAGTACTCTTGTCCAGGAAGAGGTAATAAAATTTACTTTAAAAAACTACTCAGTAACTGAATAGTTTATCAAGGCATTCCATTGAGAAGAGAAATCTTTGGGGTATAAAAAGGAAGGAAAATGTTGTGAAGGGCATCACTCCCTTTTTCAATAGAGAATGTGTGAAAAAGTAAGGAAACTTTTTTCGGTTACTTTTCTTCCTTTCATAAATGTCTCATGAGGCGGAAAGAATACTGCAAGGGGAGATATTCTTCTTTATACATTTCCATAAATTCTACTATTTGCAGTATATTCTGTAGAAGGTTCACAAGGTTTTGTCAGAAGTCCAACATGATAAAAAATGTACGAAGTACATTTGTAAATATTAATGAAGAGATGTTATCAAAAACTACATTTTGTTAATGCTTTGCATATACTGCAAAGAGAAATAGAATTTGATGTCCAGCTTCCTAAAGACACATTTTAAAGACTTTCAGTGAGCATAGGTAATTGTGATTTATTCTGAATGCTTCTAAATTCTTTAAGTCTGGCTTTCATAATTGCAAGTAGAAAGTTGTATTTTCTAAGGAGAGGATACTGAGGTGATTAGGTAATTG
Organism: Homo sapiens; assembly: GCF_000001405.40. Taxonomy (NCBI): domain Eukaryota; kingdom Metazoa; phylum Chordata; class Mammalia; order Primates; family Hominidae; genus Homo; species Homo sapiens. Next base: position 90,951,861 of record NC_000004.12, read on the forward strand.
TCACACATGAACACTCATATTTTAGGTTAACAGATATAGTAGGCTAATTCTCTAGGGATTTTCTGAATGTTAATTTTACACGCACACACATACAGACACACCTTGCTTTTCTCCCTTTTACTATCATGAATAGGGATAAAACACTAACTGTCAATTTGGGGTGGAATATTAAGAAAAACTAAAACTTAAATCACATTATGAGAAAAATTCACCAGTAAAGTCACCTTTAATGGAGGCATACATGCATACATCAACAGAGACAATTAAATACTTTTTCTGTTGATATATTAGGAAAATATTTATTAGAAGGGAGCAAAGCAAATATATAAAAAGAAAATATCAAGTCAAACTATATGAGAGGAAAGGTAAAAAAATAATATTTGGGTAACACATGTTAATTCTTTTTGTTACCATCTTTAGAGCAGCAATACTCAATCAGAGGCATTTTTGCCCCCCAGTGAACACTGAGCAATACCTAGAGATAGTTTTGGATGCTACACTTCAGAGATGCCACTAAAAAGTAATGGGAAGAGGCCAGGTATGCTACTTAATATCCCACAGTGCACAAGGCAGCTCACCTCAGCCAAGAATTATCCTGCCCACCAGGTTAATATTGCCAAGGAGAAACCCTGCTCTAGGTGGTCATTGTTAACAATGTTGAAATCTTGATTGATAACATAAAAATATTTTGTAGCACTTTTCAGGTAAATAAAAATGGGACTTGTTTACTATCTCATAGAATTCCTTTTTTGCCTGAGGAAGCATCATAATGTCATAGTCCTAGACACTTGATTTCCTACAACTGGCCTGGGACTGAGTCTCTATTATTCAAGGTGATAGCCTATCATATTTGCCGAGGTTAGCTCTGTATAGTTCTGTTTTCAGTCCCTCACTTTCCTGTGACAAGTTTTGACCAAGATATCTAGGAAAATAAATTTAAATCATAGACTGTTTTTCCAGGTGCTTCTGCCCACTCCCACTAGGCTCCAGAAGATTCTATTTCCTGTATTCTAGAAACACCCTTGAGACTCACACAGAAATCTAATAATGATCCTGTGTTATAAATTTTTCCAAGTTCTAAATTTAAAGACCATAGAAAAATTATCTAAATAGTTTCTGCTTTAATATTGTCCGTCTTTACCTTTAATATTTTGCTTTAATATTGTCCTTATCTTTACCTTTAGTATTTTGGGGCATATTTATATTATTTTCTGTATAAAGGATTTTCAGATGCAACTTCAGTGAAATATGAGTTTTGACATCCATGTGTTATGTTCATATGCAATTTTGTCATCTAGTTAACTTTTATTGTTATAGTTACTAAACAAAACAAAAAGTGATTGGCATATTAGTGGCAAAGTTCTGATATAAATTAGAAAATTATAACAGAACTGAAGGTGATCATCTTAGAACATCAAGGAAAAAATTTTTTCAACTTTAATTTTAGGAAAGCAATTCTCATTTAAAGTAGTATTTCATTGATTTTTTTTTATTTTAACAAACATAAATTTAGCAAAATAAAAATGTTCTATTTTACAATGAAACTTTTCTTACTAGCAATGTTAATTCAGTAAATATTTATTGAACATTTACTATTGTCAAGGCAATTAGATAAATTATTTATCCTAGAAATATTTTAGATATACAATTATTTTTAAATAATTGAAAGCTAAATAAATATGAAGAGGATCAAACTTTATTTCACCTGCATTCATTACAATATATAAATACACCTATACATTCCTATATCTATGTATGTTAATATAGTTAAATATAAATATTCTTTACTTATTTATCCTTTGGATATATGTGTATATTTACATCCATGTGTATATACTTTTTACAAGTAAATGTGCAGATGTGTATAGAGAATTTTGTATTGACTCACATTTTTTGATAATTGACTGAATAATTTCATCCATAGTATAGGTTTTGGTGAGTGATTTGTATCTGTAAACACTCAAATAACAAGCAACAAACTATTTTTTAAAATCCCTTATCATATTATAAATCCACATAGCTTTTCCAATAGTCTTTTTAGCAATAAGAGAAAAATTACAAAGCTCAATAGAGTTGTCATAACAAAAGAGGTTCATAAATTTTTCTTTAATTACACTCCGTGTTGCCTCTCATAAAAGTAGCATACAGCTTCTACTATCGGATTGAATGCTTACCAATTTGGAAAATGTTTGTTGATTTTTACATAAATACTTTCATTTAAGAAACTAATGATTTTTATAACATTTCTCTTTAAAGAAATAATTTATAGGCTGCATTGGAAAGCAAATACATTCTACAGTATTTTATTTGTTATCAGTTCCTTCATATGTGACTACATGAAACAAAATTTGTATGCTATATTTGCAGAATAAAGTAGAAAATACATTTTGCATACCTCAAAGTAAAAAGATTCTGTAATACAATTTCTATATGTATTCCTTCTCTCCAAAACATATTTTATTATAACATGAACATTTTAGTAGTTAACATTTTTATTTGTATTGAATTTTGCCAATTAGTTAGCCAATTTTATAATTCATTTCAGTTTTTGTTTATATTTAAATTACAGTTTACTTAATATTTCACTAGGTATTTGTTTCATAAAAGATGATTATATTAGTGAATCACAAGGATCTGAAGGAATTCTTAACATAGTTCTCATCCCAAGTAGCTGATAAAATAGATGAATTTCGTTTAATATTATTCCATGGTAGTTCACACATGAACTAACACATTAAATAGTGCTTTCAGCTTCCACTTAGTGTAGGATTGAATAAAACATGTGCTGAATGAAAACAAATGATGCATAGGAAGTATCAATCTCTGTGAATATTTCTCTATAAATTCTATTGAAGTAAGTTTCAACTAGGGAAACTATGATGGCTTTGAAATTCGTTTTTATGTGTTGAGGGTATGCAGTACATTTACTAAAAAAAAATGATTATCAAGTGATAAAATGGTTGATTTTGGTTAAAACAACTTCTCTAACTTCTCTCTTCATACATACCCACTTAGCTATTGCCACACTAGCTTTGATTCTTCTATATACATGTATGCCCTAGCTTTAGGGCTCTGATCTTTCTGCCTGGAACTATCTTCCACCAGATACTTTTATGCTTAGTGTTTCACCTCCTCAAGTCTTTCATGGCCAAAATAAGATTGTAAATATTTATCTACATTATCTATTTCCCTTCCTTGGTTAATATTTCTCATTAGCACTTGTTACCATCGAACGTGTTCGTGTTCTATGTATTTATTCTGTTTCCCCATTTGAATATAAACTCAAGGAAGGCAGATTTTATCCTATGTTTTTCATTGCTATACCCCTGCACTTGGAAGACCCAGCTGGTCCCAAAAAGACACTCAGTAAACACCCTATGAATGAAGGATATCAGATGCTTGTAATGCACAAGGCCCATGTCACTTTTCGGGAGTGCTACACTTGTGTTGGTTTTAATCCTTCTGTAAGAGCTGGAAAACTAGTCCTAAGAGGCTGCAGCAGGCAAGCATTAGCTCACAAAAATAAGGCAAATCAACTGAAGGAAATTGGACCAATGAGTATAAATATCCTACAACTTCAAGTCACATTAAATCAAACTCCCAATAGTAAACACTCCCTCACACTGCTTCCCAGCCTTTTCATGTTGTGCTACAGATAGATAATGATAATATTTAAGTAGTATATTGGGGTAAACTGACAAAGCTGTGGCCAGAGGATTCTGCCTCAGGACATTCCATTCCAAGCATTTAATCACACTTAAAATCTAAAACCCTTACTCTGATTTACTATTTATATTATCTGACTCCTGATTGCCTTTCCAGCTTCAAAAGATGGTCTTATTCTTCTTGCCCTCCTGCACATGCCTCATTTCTATTACTGAAACAAATTAAGTCCTGTCTTGGGGTATTTGTACTAGCTGTTTCCTCCCTCTGAAAGGCTTCTCCGTCTTACCACCATTCTACTTATTCGTAATTCAGATCATAACTTAAATATGTCCTGCTTCGAAAGACTATTCCTTACCATTCAATCTAAAGAAGCCAATCTAAAATAGATACTCTCTCCCACATCACACAGATGTAATGTTCTGCACAAGATTTACTAACATCTAATGTTTTTCTTGTGTATTATATATATATATCAATGCATTTGTTTATTCTGTGTCTCTCTGGGCCAAGAATCTCTCACTTCCTCACTGCAAGATGGGTGTAGGACCGAGAACAGTGCTGGACACATCATAAGTGTTTAGTAAATATTTAAAGTGGGTAAAATTAATTTCCATAAATAAAAACGTGTATTGATATTGCCAAGTGCCTTAGAACTTTGTCAAAAGATAAAAATGATTTTTATATAATTTCAATAAAATAAAAACCTACAGAAGCATTATTATACAGTGGTTTCAGGTCAGATTTTGGCTTAAGAAAGACCTACTAACTATTTTCTGGGACAACTTACTTAACTTGCAAATCCTTCATTTCTTCGTATAGAAAAAATAGGGCAGGATAGCTAAGGCATAGGATTTTCCTAAGAATAAAATTAAATACTATATATGAAATACTATGTGGGTGGCATAGGTAGGTAAGAAAATCTCTTGAACATGTCCCTAGTGATGGAGGGACACTATTCAGACAGGCATCTAAAATGATTCCTTTTTAAATTAATTTACCTATCCATTAATCCATTTAATAAAAGTTGAGAAACTTCTGTTTCCTGGAAAGATGCTGTATATGAGACATAGAGAAAAGAATTTGTATTAATTTTCAAAATTAGGTTTCTTATGGAGAGAAATATGTAAATAAGCAATTAACAGACACTTTAAGAAGTGCTATGTTACTGGTTTATACAAGGATTTCCCAGGAAGTATGAAGGCAGAACTCCATCTGATATTCTTTTCTTTTCTTCCTCTTCTTTTTTTTTTTTTTTTCTTTAAAAGACAGTATTTTAACTCTGTCACCCAGGCTGGAGTGCAGTGGCCTGATCACAGTTCACTGAAGCTTTGAACTCCTGAGCTCAAGCATTCCTCCTGCATCAGCCCCCTGAGTAGCTGTGTAGCTGGGACTACAGGTGTGTGCCACCACAACCAGCCTTTTTTTTTTTTTTTGTAGAGACAGGATCTCACTATGTTGCCCAGGCTGGTCTTGAATTCCTGACCTCAGCAATCTTCCTTCCTTGGCCTACCAAAGTGCTAGGATTACAGGCATGAATCAGCAGCAGATCCAGCCTGATATTTCTTTCTTTCCTTTTTTTTTTTTTTTTTTTTTTGAGACAGAGTCTCGCTCTGTCACCCAGGCTGGAGTGCAGTGGCGCGATCTCGGCTCACTGCAACCTCTGCCTCCCGGGTTCAAGCAATTCTCTGCCTCAGCCTCCCGACTACCTGGGATTACAGGCCCCCCCCACCACGTCCAGCTAATTTTTTTGTTTTTAATAGAGATGGGGTTTCACCATCTTGGCCAGGCTGGTCTTCAACTCTTGACCTTGTGATCTGCCTGCCTTGGCCTCCCAAAATGCTGGGATTACAGGCGTGAGCCACCGTGCCTAGCCCCAGCCTGATATTTCTAATTGAGGTGACTCTAAAAACGAACAGCAATTTCATGGTATATAAATAATATATACATAATTTATATTATAATATTATTATATAATATTATATAATATAACATAATATCATATATTATATATATTATATAATTATATTATATATATTATATAATTATATTATATAATATATTATTATTTATATTATATATAATATATATTATATTGTATATATTCTATATAATATATAATATATAATTATATATATAACTATATAATTTCATGGTATATGTATAATTTCATGGTGTATATATATATATATATACCCACACATACACACACAGCTAACAAAAGGTAAGATTTGGATTTTTAAACTGAAATTTCCCCTGATGGAGAACGCTTGTTTATGTCTTGTTAAATATTTAGGCAATACTCAGCCTAACAGATTATCACATATTGACATAAAATGATGAAAGGACTAGGGACTCTGTCTTGGCTCTTAAAAATAACATCCTAATTCAAACTTACACCTGCAGCAAGCTTGAAAAGGCATATTTAATAAATTGAAAAAAATAGTGAATAATGTGTTACAGTTTGAAGGAGTTACTTGAGAGAGCTTCTAGGTTAGCTGGGGGATCTTCCAAACTCCAGCACATAATTAAGAGCATTCTATTAGATGTGTGTGGAATCCTCTTGGAGATATTTTGAAAATTTATTTATGGGATGCATCAAGTTTTATTTAATGTTTAAGACCTCTGAATTTTCTCTGAATTAGAAATAATCCTTCTTTTTTTCAGAAAACTATGATCTTATACAATCCAAATGGTCAAGGGCAATGTAACTAGGTCGTGAAACAACTGAGTTTCTACTATACCAACTGTGATAAAGTTTATAATAAGTAACTAGTTGTCTGCTGGTTTTCCTGTCTTCTTTTTAAATTATGCAAGAGGCTAATAAAACAGTAAAGTAATAGCTCTCAGGTTTCAAACTGTTGTAGTTATTGGCTATATCCCTTGTGGTCTCCCTGCATACCTCTTGGGTAAGGTTTCCTCTCTAGGGCTGTCAGCCAACATGCCTTTGCTTGAGTTTATGGTAAAACATTTTTTTTTTTTCTGCACTGACATTCTGGAGCAGGCTGTGTGTTTTGGGTCGAGAAGGCTGCATGCAGTCCAGTGTGATGGCTGCAGCCCACTTGCTAACCTTAGAGACAGGTCTTGTAGTCTCGTGTCCCTCCCTTGGGAGATAATTAGGATCAGATAAGCTCATGAGGGTGGAATTCTCGTGAACAGGATTCATGTCCTTATAAGGGTCCAGAGTGACTGCCACATGAGAACCCAGTGAAAAGACAGCCATTTATGAAGCAAATCCTCAGCAGACACTGATCTTGGACTTCCCACCCTCCAGAATTGTCAGAAATAAATACTTGTTGTTTAAGCCACCCAGACTATGGTATTTTGCTCTAGTAGCCTGAGCAGATTAAGACAGATACCATCCTTCTTCTGTCTCTACTTGTGTTTAGATTATTAGAGTATAATTTTCAAAAAGTTAAAAACAGGAGTCTCATGCAAATTTAAAATGAATCTTGGTCAAAGATTTTATATAACAAAGTAATTAGGTTACCAGTAACACGTTAAAATCATTTCAAATTGCATTTGAGGAATTAGATATTTATAAGGAACAGAGAATGTTAGAATAAGATTACAGGAGTTATCTGTTGAACAGATGTAAATAATTTGCATCTCTGCTGTAAATTTTCTATAAGGGAACATCTGCTCTTACAGAATTATAAAACAGCCTCATTAAAAGGAAGTCAGTGCATCCTGCTGTAGCACAGTGCTCCACTGGAAGAACATGCAGTATTCTTTGCCTATTTCCAATATCTATATTATATTTCTATAATACGTGTCAATAATACGGGTTAATCATTGTGATTATTCTATTTCTTGGCCACCTACTCTATGCCAGGCACTTGGTCAGATGTTGGAATCCATTTCATCTAATGCCAAAAATAGCTGCCCAGTAAATTCTTATATAAACAAACTGAGACTCAGGGAAGATACATTTTCCAAAGTCCAAACCATTAGTAAGTGGCACACCTGAGTTTTCTTTGTTCTTTTATTTAAAACTTACTATATATGCTATGCACTACTTTAAGGGATTTATAAGTCTTATACCATTTAATCCTAAAAATAACTTAAAGTGCCCTCACTTTATTTATGAGAAAACTAGGCATCATAGAATTGAATAATGTGCCAAAGATAAATTTGACACCATTACCTGGGACTTCCTAATATATGATCAGATAAAGAGACTTCTGCATCCTGTGGAAGTTCTGCCTCGGGTTTTCTTTTTTTTTTTTTCGTTTGTTTTCTCTGATAGCAATTTGCCTTCTTTGCCTATCTCAGTCAACCTTGACCTTTAATCCAGCACCTCTCTTCTTGCCTGTGACCTCTGAACTCTTGACTCTGAGTCTGTCATTTAATACACATGCTTTGTATTCTGGAGCTTCTTTCCACGTTACTGCGTCTGCTTCAATCTAATACCCAAATCCAGAATTTTAATTATGCCTTTTGCTTTGACATTAGATTTGTCTATGTCTGTCTCTTAATTGTGCTCCAGCAAGACAGTTCGGCAAGAATCGCTTAAATTCCATTTTTCAAAGATAAGGAAATAGCTTTCCTTTGTAATAATTGGACATTTAATGCCATGAGTTAGAATGGAAAGATACCTGAAATCGTCTTTCACAGAGATAGCCTGTTCACATTGTTTTCATTAATCATTCATTTTTTTTAAAAAAAGGATTTTACGTAATGCTTTTATATGCAAAACATCATGAAGCATAGTTCAAGAATACAGAGATTAAAAATTAGACATTATTCTGAAATGGATTCAGCCATTAAGAACATTATACTCACTAGAAAAACTACACAGAAACATGAAATGCCTTGTTTCTAACCTTTGCACCACTCCTTTCCCCACAGTAGAAATATTTGACTCCTCACCTATGTTCTGGTATCTTGTCAGTCTTTACTCATTGCTCCTATTTATTCTACCCAGTCTACATCATTAGGTTCAGGCTTCTTACCTGAAACCTCAACTGCACCTCAATTCCTAAGCCAAGTTAGACAGAAGTGAGAAGCAGATTTATCTGATCTCCACCACTCTCAGCCTATCCCCAGCTCAGACAGATTTAGTTGTATCTTCTTCCAGTGTCACTTCTCTGTGAACTAAATGCCTCACTGCTGACCAATGGGCTTTCATTTTCGGTATGAAAGCTACACTTGCCTTCACCTCAGAGCTCTTATTCTGTTTATGGAACCGCTGTACCTGGAATCCTGATTCTCGACTCCTTGCTGCATTAGCTGGAATTATGTTCTTATTCTTAGCTACAAGACTAGATTGGGTCTAGAAGTTTCTATGAAGTTGTGAAATACTTATTTAGCACCTTAATATATGTTAAGACACTGCTACAAGTGTTTCACAAATACTATAAGGAAGGTACTATTTTTATCCCCATTTAATATGTGAGGTAAATAAAGGATAGAAAAGTGAAGTAACACAGGCAGTTTGGCTCAGAGTTCATGCTCATAATGACTATGCAACCTGTCTCCCTAATTATATCTTGCATTTACAGCTGTGCTTTCATTCCCAGCCACTAGAGCACCAGAATTGCCCTAATGTTGACAAACTCTTAGATTCCCCATTAGCACCTGCTCTAAAGATGCTACTTTATCCTGTTCTTTGTGTTATATTCCCAGACCTCCCAGGTTAAAATTGCTTACCTGTCATCATGCGTTCCTTATTTAGAGTTCACTTTCCCAATAGTTACACCCAGATCCCCTTCTTTTCCCTATCCAGCATTCATCAAATGTTTCTTCCCAGTTCCAGTATAGACCTTCTAGCTTGCCTCTTTCTCCTATTCATAGGTAAAATCCTTAAATATATATGAGATAGTAACTGTAGCTCAATTCAAGGACCAAAAATGGTCAACCATTAGATCACCTGATCCATCTTTTAGCCTTTAACCTTATGAATCTGATCTTGTAGGTACATGTCTATACCTATATTAAATGTATGAATAACATATATACATGAAACTTAGACAAAATAGAATAATATGTTGAAAGCAAAAGAAAATGTTTCATATGAATATTTGAATGTTAATATAAAGTTTCATTCATAAAGTACTGACACCTTAAGAATGGATTAGAGATCAGTGATAGATTTTACAAATTTGGCTTACAAATATAATGTTTATAATGATATTATTTTAATTTTAAGTAAGTACATTTATATTCATAAATATAAAAATCAAACATATACACTTTTAATTACTATTCAGCATGGTAGAAAAATATTGCAATTACTAAAGACTAGAATATAATATTCTTAATAGGCTTCAATGTCAATATAATATAGAATTGTTTTAAACAGTTCCTTTTTCTGATCTGAAAGTTGACAATAGATTCTTGAAATTAATTAATTTGGATTGACCTTTTTCTCATTTAGCCTGATGGCACCAACAGAAAATGAGAAAAGATTGAATACTCAGAATGCTTAGATAATCACATTTCAGGAAAACAAAAACAAAAACAAAAAACATTGTTTAAAGTCCCCCATTGAGCACTTTTTCTATGTTAATGAGAATTCCCATTTAATTCTCATAACACTTTGAGAAAATATTTATCCCCATTTGAGAAGAACTGAGATTTAGAAGTTCAGTAACTTGTCTATGATAATACATGTTAATAGTGGATCCAAGAATAAGACTCAGATCTTGCCAACTCACAGAACATTCTGTACCATTCACATCTCCTCAAACATTATGATGCCAATGTAAAAAAAAATCTCTTAGTAAAGATAAGCATACTAAGATGTAAATGGGTATGAGAAATGGAAAATGGCAAGATTGTTGATTTCTTCATTATAAAATAGGAATGATGGCTTTTTGCAATATCACAGTCAAAACCATAAAAAATATTTTATACTTCTGTATTTAATATACTATTTAAACATAGCAATGAAAGAATATTATTTTGACTACATTAGCTTAATTTTAAAAAAGGAATATTTTAATCTAAATTCAATTTGACAGTAAAATAAAAGAGTATTTGAAATTCTGAATACTTATATGCCCTGTAAACTTGCTTCTCAGAATGTGCTTCAGTGGCCCACATAGGTAATATTTTTAACTGAATATAACCATATTACATGTGGAAAAGTTTAGAGCTTGGTAAAAAATCATTTGAAATGTGTAATGTTCAAGCAAGAAATATTTAGTAGGGTACTGTACATTAGAGATGACAGAATATTTACTAATGGCAAAAGACAAGCCATGTCTTGGGTTCTTACCTTTCACCTTCTAGCTAGTATCACAGGCACAACAGGATTGTTTTTTTCTACACTGTAGCCAGAGTGTGCATGTTTTTCATACAGGGCTATTTTAATATTCATTTATTCACTTTTGGATAATGAAAAATTCTACTAGTCACTCTAGGCAATTTATCAGCATTAATGATAATGCAGCCAGAGTAGCATGAAAGGAACAAATTAGAACATGGATTTAGGTAATTATATATTGTTCTAGTTTAGCAAAAAAAAAATCATGTTTTAAATCCGAATACCATTATTCTTTAGTAAAATAAATCATATTGGATTTCAATACATTGCTAATTGTTCAGGTTTCTTTTTAAGGTAGAATAGTATTTTAACAAAATTTGTTATTGGATATTTATAGTTGTACTGAACAGCTCTTATTATATAGTTCCCTAGATTAGTCTATTTAAAGGCGTTTGAGGAAACTAAGCTTTCATTTAAAAATTCTGAAGCAAATTTGATCAGTACATCTATTGAATAGCATCTTGAATCTCCGAGGATGTGATCTAACAGAATCCCAAAACTAGGTTCCTTAACAGCAGAGTCTATGAATTATGAAAATTGATGACAGATAGATCTATAGATGATAGAGATGCAAATATGGAGATATATATAAACATATATTATGAAATACATATATACATTTTTTTTGTTATGGACTGATTTGTGTCCCCAAAATTCATATTTGAAGTCATAACCCACAGTAGCTTAGAATGTGAATACTTAGAGATAGGGCCTTAGGGAAGTATTTAACATTAAATTAAGTCATTTAAATGAAAGTACACCCTAATCCAACATGACTGGTGTCCTTGTAAGAAGACGGAAAACATGCACCGAGAAAAGGCCATTTGAGGGCACAGTGAGAAGGCAGCCATCTGCATCCATTGGAGAGGACAGAGGCCTCAAGTGAAACCAGACCTGCTGACACCTTGATTTTAGAATCCCAGCCTCCATAATTGTGTGAAAATAAATTTCTCAGTTTCTCACATGGCATTTAAGCCACCCAGTCTGTGGTATTTTGTTGTGGCTGCCTTTAGCAAACTAACGTATTGCCTTATGATCTATTGAAAGGTTCAAGTAAAAAAAAATAAAGAAAATTTAATAGGGCTTCAAGAAGTTAGGAGTTGTCAAATATTCTTTTTATTTTCTTCTTCTCTTGCTTTTGTTAATAAAGAATTTCTGGGGTAGAAAAACAACATTTTTTCTCACTAATTTGTGTGATTTCCAGCAGTTCATTATTAGAAACCAATTATTTTAATGCAAGAAGAACTCTTTTTTACACTATTTGTGGAGAGCAAATTATATAAAATTGACATACCTCCCTAAAAGTGGCCTTAAAAATGTTCATGTATTTTTACTGAATTCTTCTTTTAGAAATTATTTTAAGTAAACAATGCAGTTGCTTAAAGTTTTCTGTAAATAGGTGCTGATCACAACATAGTTCATAGAAGTGAACAACTAAAAATAACATTGTTTCCAAATTGAAGTATTCCCATAAATTGTGATTTTTTTTGTATCTATAAATATAATAACAGATATGTATTTTTAACATGGAACTGCCTGGTAATAGAGAAAATAAAAATTCTTTAAGAGACATGTAATAAAAAGCAGCAGTTCTAGAATAACACAGTAAAGGCATCTGAAAATCTGCTATTCCATAAAAGCAACAAGGATAGGCCAGGCGTGGTGGCTCACACTTGTAATCCCACACTTTGGGAGGCCAAGGCGGGCAGATCACGAGGTCAGGAGATCGGGACCATCCTGACTAACATGGTGGAACCCGTCTCTACTAAAAATACAAAAAACTTAGCTGGGTGTGGTGGCAGGCGCCTGTTGTCTCAGCTACTCGGGAGGCTGATCCAGGAGAATGGCATGAACCCGGGAGGCAGAGCTTGCAGTGATCCGAGATTGTGCCACTGCATTCCAGCCTGGGCGACAGAGCCAGAGCAAGACTCTGTCTCCAAAAAAAAAAAAAAAAAAAAAGCAACAAGAATATGGGCAAAAATTGTCCAAATCAACTTTTTAAATTCTGGAAATCCACCAAAGGCTTTCGATACCACGGAGTGTTTATTAGGGGTAAATGGTTGAATCTCAGTTCTAACAGCAAACATTGTGTTATTTTAACTTGCCCACTTTCTCTACCTCATGTGCAGTTGCCTTGCTATCCGGTGACCTTGCAACAAAGACATCTGTGTAAAAGATCACCTTTGTAGCCACTAAGGGGGCCTTATCTATGTGGAGCTACCCCCAAAAGCCTCATTCCCAGAGTTTTATCAATATTTGAATTGTCTACCAGCTCCCTAGAACAGGGCCATTTACAAGACTTGTTTTTATTTGAACTCAGGGCTTACTCATTGCAAAAAGCCCTATCCTATCCACAGGACATTTGACAGAAACAATCAATTGTTTAATATTTCAGTTGCTTGAGGCAGTGATACAAGTTGGGGAAAATGAGTCTGACCAAAATCTTAAATGGAAAATCTGGGAGATGATATGTCTACAGAGGCCTTTAAAAAGGCTTCTTATAAATTCTCTGGAACCTAGAAAGCCACAACAAGTGCAGGGGTGTGCCCATATTCAAGGCTGTGTGTATGCCCAAGAAAGACCTGACAAGGCCCTGTTTTCTCACCTCTGGGTGACCTTGAGTTTCTGCATAGGTAGGAAGGAAAAGCTAAGGCTGACTGCAAACCATCAGATCGTTGAAGACATGCCCCCAATACATACACAAAACCAATTGGCAAAAGCCGGGAGACTTATTGGCCAATACATTCAAGATAATCTTTGTTTAATTGTAAGTTGATCACTATTGTAATCCACCAGGGACTTCAGTGAACTACAGATGACAAGAATAAAGACTTTTCAGAATATTTCATTAAAAAAAGATGACACCAAAATCAATGAACTGCAACAACAAGCCATGTGAAAGAGAAGAATCTGATTTTTAGAGTTTCTACATTATATGAAAATGTCCAATTGCCAAAAAATGTAAAAGACGTGAGAAGACACAAGAAAGTGTGACTCATAAGAGAGGGAAAAAATAGTCAAAAGAACCTATTTTATGTATTTAAGAAGTGATGGAAGCCATGTCTAAAGAACTAAACGAAAGTGCTTTTTTTCCTGAATAAAGAAATCAGCAAAGAGATAGGAAATATTTTTAAGTACCAAATAGAAATTCTGGAGTTGAAAAGTATAGTAACTGAAATGAAAGTACCTTCATGGACTCAACAGTATATTTGAGCAGGCAAATAAATAATCAGTTAAATTTAAGATAGATTCATAGAGATTATCCAATCTGATAAAGAGAAAAATAAAAGAATGAATAAAAATGAACAGAGACTCAGAAACCTGTAAAAACGCTGTGAAGTGTATCAACATACACATGAGATTTAAGAAGGAGTGAAGAGAAAGTGGCAGAAAGACTATTTGAAGATATGATGGCCAGAATTTTCTTAAATGTTATGAAAAACATTGATCTGCCTAAGAAACTTGAAGTCCATGTGGTATAATTTAAAGAGATGCATATTTCAACACATAGTAGTTGAACTGTTGAAAGACAAAGAAAAAAAAATGTGAAGACAGCAAGAGAAGAGCCACTCATCACACAAAAGTCTCCTCAAAAAGATGGCTGACTTCTTATCAAAAGCAGGGAGGCCAGAAGAAAGTGGGATGATATATTCAGTACTGAAACAAAGGATAAAAGCTGCCAATATTTCTTATCCAACCAAACTGTCTTTCAAAAATGAAAGAGAAATTGAGATGTTCCCAGATAAACAAAAACTGCGCGAATTCATTGCTAGGAAACCTGCCTTATAAGAAATTTTAAAGAAAGTCCTTCAGACTGAAAGAGAAGGACAATAAATCGCCAATTGAATCCGTGGAAGGGATAAAGAGCAACTGTATAACTACACAGGAAAATATGAAAACTTATACATTTATTTTTATTTATTACTCTTATCTGATATCAAATACAATTGCAGAAAGCAATAGTTGTAAAACTATATTGATGTATGTTCATGGGTCAATAGGCTTAATATTGTTAAGATGATAATATAATCCAGATTGACCTACAGATTCATCACAATTCCTATCAAAATCCCAGCTAGCTTCTCTGAAGAAATTGACAAGTTGATCCTAAATTTCACATGGAAATACAAAGTACATAAAATATCCAAAACAATCTTGAAAATGAAAAACAAAATTGGATAACCTACACTTTTCAATTTCAAAATTTATTATGAAGCTAAAATAATCAAGGGAGTGTGGTACTGGCATAAGGTCAGAGAGATTGATAAATTAAATAGAATTGAGAATCCAAAACTAAACCCTAATATTTATGACCAATTGATTTTCAACAAGTGTGCCAATACATCTCAATGGTAAAAGGAAAGTCATTTTGGGCTGGGTGTGGTGGCTCATGCTTGTAATCACAGCCCTTTGGGAGGCCGAGGTGGGAAGATCAGCTGAGGTGAGGAATTCGAGACCAGCCTGGCCAAAATGATGAAACCCTATCTCCATTAAAAATACAAAAAATTAGCTGGGCGTGGTGGAGTGCACCTATGGTCCCAGCTACCCGGGAGGCTGAGGCAGGAGAATCGCTTGAACCCAAGAGGTGCAGGTTGCAGTGAGCTGAGATCACAGCAATTCACTCCAGCCTGGGCGACAGAGCAAGACTTTGTCTCAAAGAAAAAAAAAAGTATTTTCAACCCATGGTGCTGGGACAACAATATATCCACAAGCAAAAGAAAGAAGTTGGACACCTACCTCACAACATATACAAAAATAACTTAAACTGGATTATAGACCTAAATGTAATAGCTAATACTACAAAATTTTTATAAAAAAATAAATGAGTAAATCCAATAATGGTTAGTGATGGTTTCTTAGATACAACACCTAAAGCACAATAAACAACTATAACAATATAAATTGGATTTCAACAAAATTAAGAATTTGTTCTTCGAGTTGATGCCAGCAAGATGATAAAATAGAAGTTTTCAGCCCTTATTCCACCCTAAGAAACATATTTTTTCACAATCTCCCATGGACAAAAGCACTGTTATGAGAACCTGGGAGTCCACTGGAAAAGTGCCAGCAGCCCAATGGGATAAATAATCCAAAAATAGACACACTGAAAAAAGTAAGAAGAACAGTTTTACTTTATCAGCATCACCCCTTTTCCCAAGGCAGTAAAGCTCAGTGCCAAGAGAGACCCTCTTAATCCATGATTTCTCTAACGGAGAAAACTGAAAGCGTAGTGAATTCCTACCTTCCTTAATCATGTGGAATGCTGTCTAAGAGGCATGCCCCTTCCAAACCTCACAGATAACATGAGAACAGTAGGTGTAAGTATCCTGCAGATATTTAAGAGTAGAAAAAAGAAAGATAGGCTCACAGACACCAGAGAACAGAACTTAAAATAATATGTTAAAATATTAACATAAAATAATAATAATAATAATAAAAGAACCAAAATAGTATGTCGAAAGAACTTTAAAAAAGAGCCAAGAACTCCACCAAAAGGTTCACTTATGAAGCTTGTGATATGCATCCCTTGCAGATTTCCTCAACTAACCCACACATGCCCCCAGCATTCATCCCTTCCTTAGCAGGTGCTCCATGTGTGCCCCCACAGATAGCACATGCAAACCTCTGAAGACTGTACTGTAGCACATATAGTCACCTTGACAGACTGCTGGACTGGGAGAAAGCACAGAACCTAAGCACTTCAGAGCAAACTGCCCTAGGGAGAAAATAAACAGGGGACTCTCAGCACCCAACATGGCTTTGTAGAATTGAGAGAAGACATACAATACTTAAACTTTTCCTCAAGAGGGAACAGGAGGAGTGGAACAGGTACATCCATAGAAAAGGTCTGGGAGACCCCAAGAATCCATATCCAGGCTGATTGGTGAAGGTATTTCTCTCCAGAGATGATAAATTCTACAGGAAGTTACATCTTCACCAAATGAAAAGACTGTAATGAAAGACTGCATTGAACACAAAAACTCAAGGAAACATAACACTATGACAGAACATAATAGTTTTCCACTAACCAACCTGAAAATATTAGAGATCTATGAAATATCTAAAAAAAAATCAAAATAATTGTTTTAAGGAAGCTCAAGATGCTACAGAAACACAGAAAAATGAACAAAAAGAAGAAAAACAATATATGAACAAAATGTAAAGTTCAACAAAGAGACAGAAATTATTTAAAAAAACAAATACAGGACTGAAGACAATAAATGGAATAAAAATTGAAATAGTCTTTCATGAGCAGACTCAAGCAGAAGAAAGCATCTGTGAATGTAAAGACAGGTCATTTGAAATCATCCAGTCAGAGGATATAAAAAAAGAACACAAAAGAGTTAAGTAAGCCAGTGAGATCTATGGGACACAATTAAATGAAACAGTATACACATTATGTAAGTGTCTGAAGATAACAAAAGGAAAAGAGAGCTTATTTAAAGATATAATAACTGAAAATGTGCCAAATCTTGAGAGGGATATGAACATCCACGTTCATGAAGTTAAAAGATTTCTAAAACAGAATAACTTCAAAAAGAATATACCAAGACACACGATAAAAATATTATGAAAAGTAAAGGACAAAGAAAGAATTTTGAAAATAGCAAGACAAAAGCCACTTGTTATAAGCAAGGAAACCCCATTAAGCTATTAGATGATTTCTCAGCAGAAAGCTTCCAGTCTAGGAGAGTGAGATAATATATTCAAAATTCTGAAAGAAAAAGACTGCCAACCAAGATACTACACCCACAAAAACTGTCCTTAAGAAATAAAGAAGAGATAAACACTTTCCCAGATGAACAAAATGACAATCTATAAAATGTCTAACAAAAATTTAGAGGGAATTTATTAACATTAGACATGCCTTAAAAAATGGTAAAGGGAGTTCTTCAAGATGAAGCAAAATATGCTGTTTGGTAAGAGGAACATATGAAAGCATAAAACTCACTGGCAAAGGTAAATATATAGTTAATGTCATAATTATCTGATGCAGCAGTGGTAGTGTGTAAACTACTTGTAATTCTAATCTAAAGGTAAAAGACAAAAGTGTTTAAAATGATTAGAATGAAAATAATATGTTGAAAGTTATACAATATAAAAAGAAGAACCTCTAGCAGATACACATAAGAAATAAAAAAAACCTCTAGTAAATATACATAGATAAAGATAAAGAAATCAAATTATACCACCGCAAAAAAAAAATCATAAAATTACAAAGGAATATGACAAGAGAAGAAGAAAGAAACAAAGAAACTGCAAAATGTTCAGAACAACAAGATGGTAATTTTCCAAATCTAGTCATTACCTATATAATTATTGAAAATATAAATGGATTAAGCTTTCCAGTAAAAATAGATAGAGTGGGTGAATGGATTAAAACACACGATCAAACAGTGTGCTTCCTACAAGAGACTTGCTTTAGCTTTAACAACAGACATAGACAGGAAATGAAGGAATACAAAAAATATGCCATGCAAATGGTAACCAAAAGACAGTAAGGGTGAGTATAATTATATTAGACAAAACGAACATCAAGTGAGAAATTGTCACAAAAAACCAAGAATGTCATTATATAATGAGAAAAGGTCATTTCATTAAGTGGATATAGCAAGTGAAAAAAATATATGCATCTAACATACAGCACCCAAATATATAAAGCAAACATTAACAAAACTGAAAGAAGAAATAGACAGAAATACAATAGTAGAAGATAGATACTATGTTATCAACATTGAATATATCATCTCTATAGAAAATTAAATAAGGAAACAACAGACATGAATAACATTATAGACCACATGGGCTCGACAGACATTTTATCCAACAGCAGCAGAATGCACATTTTTCTCAAGCACACCTATGACATCTTTCAAGATAGATTATATGTTTAGTCATAAAACAAGTCTTAACAAATTTAACAAGGCTGAAATCATAGAATTATTTCTGACCACAATGGTATTAAACTAGAAATCAATAAGAGGAAGAAAAATCACAAAATTTAAAATGTGTGGAAATTAAACACACTCCTAAATAATGAGTTGAATCTAAAGGGAAATAACTTGAGAGAAAGGAAAATAGTAACACTACATACCAACATTTAGGACATGAATACAGTGAAAAAAAATTACTAAAAGAAATTTTATATCAATAAATGCCCATGTTAAGAGAAAAAGGCCTCAAATAAACCACCTAACTATATACCTCAAAGAATTAGAAAAAGAAGAACAAACTAAGCTCAAAGTTAGCAGAAGGAAGGAAATAGTAAATATTACAGCAGAAGTAAAGTAGAGGCTAGAAAAATAATAAAAAAGATCAACAAAATGGTATTTGTTCTCATACTATGATAAAGACATACTTGAGACCGCATTATTTATGGGGAAAAGAAGTTTAATTGACTCACAGTTCCACAGGCTGTACAGGAGGCATGGCTAGGGAGGCCTCAGGAAACTTAGAATCATGGTGGAAGGTGAAGAGGAAGCATGCACCATCTTCACATGGCAGAGCAGGAGAGAGAGAGCAAAGTTGGAAGTGCTACACACTTTTAAACAACCAGATCTCTTGAGAACTCACTCACTATCACAAGAATAGCAAGGGAGAAATCCACCCCCATGGTCCAATCATCTTCCACCAAGCCCCTCTTCCAACCTTGGGGATTACAATTGAACATGAGATTTGGGTGGGGAAAGAAAAGCAAACCATATCAGAGATTGAATCAATAATCCAAAGCCTTTCAGCAAAGAAAAGCCTGCAACCAGATGGTTTTACTAGTGAATTCCACAAACATTTAAAAAATAATAAATGCCAATACTTTTCAAGCTCCTCCAAAAAAATTGAAAAGGACAGTATGCTTCAAAACTCATATTACAAGGCCCAAATTACCCTGAATATCAAACCTTACAAGTATTCTACGAGAAAAGACAACCACAGGCAAATATCCCTGATGAACATAGATGTAAAAGTCCTTTCCAAAATAACAGAATACAGTACATGAAAGGATTACACTCCATGGTAAAGTGGGATTTAACCATGGGATGTAAGGATGATTCAATATATCAAAAATAATGTCATACAACACATGAACAGAATGAAGAATAAAAACATATAATCTCAATAAATGCAGAAAAAGAAATTGATGAAATTCAACACCTTCTCATGATAAATACTATCAATATATTGGATAAAGAAAGAATGTACCTCAACATAACAAAGGCTGTATGTGAAACACCCACAGAAAACATTAAACAGTGAAAAGCTCTATGCTTTTCCTCTAAGATCAGCAACAAGACAAAGGTTTCTACTCTTACCACTTCTATTCAACATAATGCTGTATGTCCTATCCAGAGCAATTAAACAAGAAAAAGAAAGAAAGACAACCAAATTAGGAAGAAGAAAAATTGTCTCTGTTTGCAGATCACATGATATTATATGAAGAAAACCCTAAAGATGCCACCCAAAACTATTAGAACTAATAAATAAATTCAATAAAGTAACAGGATATAAAATCAACATTAAAAATCAATATTATACATATATCAAATTACTTTGTTGTACACCTTAAGTTTATACAATTTTTATACATTAACAATTAGATATCCAAAATGAAATTAAGACAGCAACACCATTTAAAATATCATAAGAAATAAAAAAAACTTAAGAATAAATTTAACCAACAAAGTGAAAGATCTGTGCACTTGAAACTATAAAACGCTGATGAAAGAAATTGAAGATGACATAAATAAATGAAGATATCCCATGTTAATGGATTGGAAAAAATAATATTCTTAAAATACCTGTAGTACACAAGGTGATAAAATTCAACTCATTCTTTACCAAAATCTCTTATTTTTTGCAGAAACAGAAAAAAAATTCTGAAATTCATATGGAATCATAACAGGTACAGAATACCCAAAGCAATCTTGAGTAAGAAGAAAGCTGGAGGCATCACAATTCCTGATCTCAAAATATATTATTAAAATAAAGTAATCAAAACTGTATAGTACTGTGGAAACAGATGTGTAAAAGAATGTAACAGAATAGAGAGTGCAGAGGTAATTCTCCACATTTGTAGTCAACTGATCTTTGACAAAAGTCCCAAAAGCATACAATGGGGGGACGAAGGAATAGTCTCTTCAATAAATAATGTTGAGAGAACTGGATATCCATATGTAGAAGAAAGAAACTGGACCATTATCTCACACTATATATAAAAGTCAACTCAAAGTGGATTAAATACTTAGACATAATACCTGAAACTATAAAACTGCTAGAAGAAATATAGAGGAATGCTGCTTGACATTTGGCTGGGCAATGATTTTGGGACATGACCCCTAAAGTACAGACAATAAAAACAGAAATAGACAAGTAGGTTTTTTCATCACAGCAAAAAGTTTGTGTACTAGCAAAGAAAACAATCAACAAAGTAAAATAACAGCCTAAGGAATGGGAAGAAGAAAATGTTTGCAAGCTATCCATCCCATAAGGGGTGAATATCTACAATATATGATACTCAAGTAATTCAATAGAAGAAAACAAATAACCTGATTAAAAATTGGGCAAAAGGCTCAGTCATTTCTCCAAATAAGATGTATGAAAGGCCAACTGTTATATGAAAAGGTGCTCAACATCACTAATCACCAGGAAAATACAATCATAAGTACAATGAGTTATCACTTAACACATGTTAAGATAACTGCTGTCAAAATGACAAAACATGACAGGTGTTGAAGAAGTTGTAGAGAAAAAGCAACCCTTGTACAGTTGGTGGGAATGTAAGTTGTTACTGCCATTATGAAAAACAGTATGGAGATTCCTCCAAAAGTTAGACTAGAACTATCAAATAAACCAGCAATCTTACTTCTGGGTATATATCCAAAGGAAAGGAAATAAGTACGTCAAAGAGATATCTGCATTTCCATATTCATTGCAGCATTATTAGCAATAACCAAAGCATGGAAACAACGTAAATATCTGCCCGTGGATGAATGGATAAAGAAACTGTGAGATACAGAAACAGACAAACGCATACATACACACACCAACACACACACACTCCAGTGGCATATCATTCAGTCATAAAAAAGAAGAAAATCCTGTCATTGTAACAACATGAATGAACGAGAATGTGTTCCTGGTCCATTCATGCTAAGTGAAGTAAGCCAGACACAGAAAGATAAATACTGCATGATCTCACTCATATGGAAAATCTAAAAATCACGATCTCATAAAAGCAGAAAGTAGAATGGTGGTTTTCAGGGGCTGGGATACGTAGGAAATGATGAGGCATTTGAATAAACGGTAGAAAGCTTTAGTTATGCAGGATAAATCAGTTCTAGAGATGTAATTTGCAGCAATGTGACAAGATTTAACAATACTGTATTGTATACTTGATATTTGCTAACAGTAGATTTTAAGTGTTCTCAATATCTACAAAAAAGTATGTGGGGTGATGTATATGTTAATTGTCTTGATTGTGGTAACAATTTCACAATACATATATCAAAACATTACATTGTATACATATCTCAAAACATTACATTGTATACATATCTCAAAACATTACATTGTATACATATCTCAAAACATTACATTATAAACTAAAATTATGCAATTTTTATTTTTTCAATTACAACTCAATAAAGCTGGGAGAATTGTGCTTGAAAAAAAAGAAAAAGGCTTTCAAGAAAGTGAAAATACAGCCTCCAGAATGGAAGAACATATTTGTAAATCATGTGTTTGATAAAAGACTCATATTCAAAATACATAAAACATATTTTTCTCTAAATAAGATACACAAATTGCCGATAAATGCATGACAAGAGTCTCAGCACCTTTACCCATTAGGGGTATGCAAGTCAGAACCACAGTGAAATACTTCATAACCATAGGATAGTTAAAATAATAATAATAAAAAAAGATAGGCAAGTACAACTTTTGGCAGGTATGTGGAGAAATCCCTCCTACTTCATTGATATGATTATATAATAGTATAGTCACTTTAGAAAACAGTAAGATGCTTTCTTAATCTATTAAACATAGAATTACCAAATGACCTACCAGTTCCACACTTCAGTGTATACCCAATATATAAAAACTTATGTTCACACAAAAACTTGTATTCAAATGTACATAGCAGCATTATTAGTAGCCAAATGTGGAAATAATACAAAATATACATGAACTGATGAATCCATAAAGCAAAGTGTTATATCCACATGATGGAATATTATTCAGCCTTAACATGTAGTGAAATACTGATCTATTTTACAATATAGATCTACCTTGGAAAATATATGTTTAGTAAAAGAAGCTCATCACAAAACATCACTTATTGTATGATTCAATTTATATGAAATGTTCAGAATAGGCAAATTTATGGAGACAGAAAGTATATTTGCATTTATCAGGGGTTAAGAGAAGGGAGAGTAGGAAATGAGTGCTGATGGGTATTGGGTTTATTTTTCAGATGAGGAAAATTTCTTAGAATTAGATAGCGGTTATGTTGAACAATTCTGCAAATATACTAAGGAAACACAGAATTGTATAATTTGAAATTGAGATATATGGATATGTTAATTTGCTTGTCTATGCTAACCATTTTACTATCTATTGTACATAAAAACTTCATATTGTGCACCTTAAATATATACAATAATTTTTTTCTAAATAATAAAAGAATGAAAGAACTGAAAGAGTGAATTTTATGGTATGTGATTTATATCTCAGTAAAGCTGTTATAAAAGAAACAGATACCTAATGAGTAATGAAACTGTCAAACACGGAAACAGAGTCTCTAAGTAATTTGCTCACTAGTTACTGCAACTTCTCTCTGCCAGGCCATTATATTATTAGTAGTAGTATGGTTATCATTGTCATTGTTATTTTTGTTGCTAAACAGATGAAAATCCAGTTACTATGTAAGGATATTGCAACATCACATTATTACCAATGTGTTTTTACCTTATTAGCAATGTGTTTGTTTAAAACAAAGAGATATCCTATGTATATTTGTAACAATATTTGAAAGTAACCCATTTTTTCTAATACAAAATACTCATTATATTAATTATTATAAATTAGAATGATGTTATTTATTGTTATTATATTCCCAAAGCTCTAGAATGTTAAATGATGAAAAGAGACCTTTACTGGGAATTTAGAGTGGGTAACATGTCTAAATCTAATTTTGCCTTTTATTAATTGTGTGACCTTAACTTCTCATTTAACTCCCTTTGTACTGGTGACTTCATTTTAAAAAGTCAGAGGTTTATCTCCGAAATTGGTTCAGTTTGCTCTAATTTTTATTTTTTGTGTTACAAGCATAATTAGTATAGAAAAGCCAATTAACCTAAGGAAACTATTTGCCACAGATTTTGATAGGCAGAATTAAGATTTTTAATTTACATTAAAAGGCTAGACACATTATTAAGAAAAGTATTGTGAATCAAATTAACTAATAAGAAAAGGGAATGATTGTATAATTTACAAAAAACAAAATCAAAATACAACTCATGAAGAAACAGGGAAAGTGGAAAAATGTTCACTTACCAAAATGCAAATAAAATAAGATTTCTTTTTTGTATGTAAAATTTTAAAAGCTTTATAATTATATCTAATTTAGTTATAGATCAAATGACATATTTTGCTGTTATAAAGTAAGTAGCAATAATTTTAGGTCAAGCAGTTTGGCGGTAAGAATTAAGATTAAAAAAAATAGTCACAGCCTTCAACCCAGTAATCCTATTTCTGGAAATCCACCTTAAAATATAAACCAAGATTGTGTAAATATTTTAAGATTAAAATGATAATTGTAACATTATTTATAATACTGAAAGTCTAAAACTAATCCACAGGATCAACAATAAATGAGTATTTAAATAAAGTATGTTGTAGTTATACTGTAAATAAATAAAAATGAAGGAAATGTTGCCAAAGAAAATATTTCTGGAGACTTCATACTACTAAATTATCAGCAAGTGTAGGTGACCAAAATATGGATAATTATTTTATCCATAATATTTTACAAAGTTTTCCAGTTTTCCATGACTATTCCTCTGTGGTACACACAGAAAATTTCCCATCCAAAACCGTTTGCCATTTCTTCTCTACTAGCAAAATTTCGAACTTCTTTTTAGACAAGCATTATTCTCAGCATTCATTCAGCAGCCTTTGAAAGTGAAGGTGACATGAGACACAGCTGTGCTTAATAAAAATATAAATAGAAAAAATTGAGTGAAGCTTCCAAAAAATTTGTTTAAAATGCTTTAGTTTTTATTGGTACCAACCTTTTGTTCTCTGCCTCTCCTTCTTCATATTTGGAATAAAAATACAATGCTGGAGGTAAAACAACCAACTTGTGACAACGAGAACACAATATAAACTAAAGCTTCATGCTAAGCAAGACTTCGCAGAAAGACAGAGGGCACCAGGATTCTTGATATCACTTTGGAGATTGTTCCAGCCCTGGCCACCTACCTCCAGCCTTCTTAAGAAACAAAACTAAATTCCTAACTTGTTTAAGCCATTGACTAATTATGCATTCTGATACTTGAGGCTAAAAGCAATCTTTGACATATACATACGTATATATATATGTATATATACACACACATATGTGTTTCTATTACATATATAAATGCATATATTATAATTATATGTGCTTGAATTGGTGGGGTTGTAATTTTCTACATAATTTCAAATTGCATATACTGGCATTATAAATTGAACATGTATATTTGCAATTATGTATGTATATATACACAGACATCATATATGTGAATGAATAGGAGTACACTAGACAGTTAATTTCCTATTCATTCTTCCATATTTAGCTCAAAGGAACTTTCTCTGTGAAGCATCTTCATTTTGCTTTCTTATAATTTGAATGAACCTCTAATACAACATACATAATCTTATATTGTAATCATTTGTTTGTATATCTGCCTTCCCACTCCCACTCATTTCATTGTCAGTTCTTGTTGGGCTGGGATATCGACTCCATCATCATTTACACATTTAATAGATGACAATAGATTAGCTCATAAGCAAACATTGTAATGATTCACTTAGATATTATTTTCATTTTGATGGTATCTGTTTAATTCTATAATATTCTCAATTCCTTTTCAATGCCCTATGTGCTATGATGTATGCAACAGGCATTCAATGATGTCATTAATTAACTGATAACAGTTGCAATACATGTATATTAGGGGTTTCTGATATCCTGCAAATTACATCTAATACAGGAAACATTTGGCTGGATATTCGTTGATCTACAGTCTAGATTCAAAATACGAGTGGATATTTTCAAATATTTTCATATAATGCTTTTTCAGGGACTGAACTAACAGCAAATGACCTAGCACACAGATTCCACAACCAAACTGTGTGGGGACAGACCAAGTTACTACCTTGATATATTCAAATGCGTCACTTAATCATTTATATTTTGTGTTCCTCAATGGTAAAAAGAGGATAATAATATTTTTATTGGGTTTTGTGAGAATTCAAAGAATTAATGTACACAAAGCTCTTAGAACAATGTTGAATGTATGGAAAGCACTCAATAATACTTTCTATAAACAATGGTTTGCAGTAGGGATGCATAATTAGATCCTAATCTGCCACTTTAAAAATACCTCTCAAGAGTCTGTCTTTCCAAAATGTCTATTATTTTCTTTTCTTCTTCATTGCTTCATTAAATCTGCAGTTAATTAATGTATTTATGTTACAATAATCTAATTTAGATTCAGGGAATGTGTTGAATGTCCTCACATAGCTTCTCAATATGAAAATAATAAATAATTCTGTAGACTGAATAAAAATGAATCAGAGTGAGATTGAAATTGCAATCTCAAAATTAGATTTTGTGATGAGGGATCTGTAGACCGTAATTCAATCTTTCTCTTTGCTTCAGTTAGGTTAGATGATGTTCCTTGGAAAATGTGAAGTTTATATGTTTTGTATGCATGGTTTGTGAAGAAGTCATTGATGGGAATTGTTTATGTGATAGTCTTTAGAAAGCTTGTGTGATGAAGCTCAGCTCCTATAAAATTTCACTTCAAAAACAGCCCTTTGAATACCAGTTTCCCATTTTGGAGATAATCTTTTATTGTCACAAAATATGTATTTAAATATTATGAAAACTAAAAACAAGGTAAAGTGTCTCCCTAAGTACAATAAATATTGAATAGAATTATAAATTTATTCTAGAAGAGGGAAAATGCAAACAACTACTTCCAAGCACCCTAAAACAAAACAGCAATTCCTTTCATAGTTCTAAGTTATACTTTCTGATGTGAAATGAGTAATTATGCACTGCTTTATTTTAATATATGTATATAAACATAAATATATACTTTTAATTATATTTAAGGTGTGTATATATGTATGTATACAAAACATTTTAAATATTTTTTAAAGCAAAGCCAATTAGATACTAATACAGTCATCACATTACCTAAACATTTATTTATTCATTCATTCAGTCATTCATCAAAGATATGATGAATATCTTTGATATTGTAGACTTATCATGTATTGAGAATGGCTTTAGGGATCTGAATATAAGAGATAAGTTCCTATACTCATGGAACTTATAAAATATTTTATATTTTAAATGTTATATATTTACCTGTATTTCTGGATAGATGTTATGAAAAATGTCTTTAAATTTGTTTATATGGTGTGTGGCTTATTCAACCTGCCCATTTATTTTTTCGTTATGCAAGTACGCACTGATGATCTAATATGAGCTAAGGACTTCTGGTAGTTATTAAGGCTGTTCCCAAGGGCACTTGAGAGAATTACACTTCTCCATCTGCCGCCATATGACTACTTTCTTTAGCCAGTGAAATGTGAGTAGGAGTCTTAACTTGTGTCACTTCTGATAGATTTAAATATCAAAGTGATTGTGGAAGGCATGGCCATTGGAGCCTCTATTTGTCTGGTGATTAATCGACCGCGATGAATAGAGCTCCATTTCACGTTTACATTGGCTGTGTAGACGGAGATGAAAGATACTCTCCCTGTGTTAAGCCATAAAACATCAGAGTTATTTTGTTAATGAGGCATAACCTAGCATATGCTTACTGATATAGCACCATTGTAGGTGCTGAGGATATAATTTTAAGCAAAGCAGATAAAGTACCTGCCCACATGGAATTTATGTTCAAGTGATGAAACTATAACTAAAAAAAAATAATAAACTGATACAGGATATGATGATGAATAGCACTAAATGCTATAAAGTTTAGTAAGGAGATAAATAATCAGGGTGGATGCTATTTTGGATAGAATGCTCAGGAGAGTAATTTCTGGAAAGGTGATACTTCATCAGAGACCTTACTTAAAGGGCAAGACCCTTAGGAGCTGCACTAGCAACAGTGTTGCAAAAGGCCTGGCACACAGGTTCCAAAAATGCAAGCTATGTAGTCCTGAGCTCACCAGTTAGGAGCTCCAGCAAATAATCTGGAGAAATTATGGGGAAATATGATAGCTCTGAGGCAAGAGAGTGTGCCCTGTGAACAGCACAGAGCCCAATGTGTCTGCAGTGGACTGAGCAAGGGGGAGACCTGTAGGAGATAAGTCATCTAAGGTCGTGTGAGTACACAGAACAAGTGATGCCTCATAGACCTTCATGAAAGTAAGTTAGAGAAGAAAGTTTTGAACACAGGCATTATGTGATTTGACTTATGATTTTTAATAATCACTTTGAATTCTTGATGAACAATAAACTCTAGAAGGTAAAGAGTAGAAACTGGCAGACTAGTTAGGATGATATTGCAGTATTGGGTTGTTGTAATAGCGATGATACTAAGTGTAGACTGAGCTAACAGGATTTGCTCTTATTTTGTAATGGTGAGATGAAGGGAGTGTGGCAGGGGCCAGAGGAGAGGAGAGAGAGGGAAAGTAGGGATAGATTAGAGAGAAGGCATGGAAAGACGTACTCGAAGGAAGGAATGCCACGATGAAGGCCTGGACCACATAGAATGAGAAGTCAGATCCCATTTTGAATTCCAGAGCAGATTTTGCCCCCAGGCTATATTAAGAGGTGAATACTCGAACTACCACAGTTACTCTTTCATTATAATGAATGTTATCTAGAATTTCCGGTAGCGCATGCTATTGGTGCCCTGCCCATAGTCCTTGATTAATTATCATTTCTATGCTTGTGGGTGCAAATTGCAGTCAGCTATCACCTTTGCCAGGAGGGCTCTACAGGTAGACCTGAAGTAGAAGGGCATTAACTCTCTCTAGGGAAAGCCCTCAAACAATTACAGAAGTTGGTGGATAAATATTCATCTCCCTACCCCCTTGGGCAGACCCTAAGCTGTGAGTTCTGCAATGATACTTAGAGTTTCCCAGTGGGGTTAGGCTTCAATTGTCCAGATTGCTAACATATTTGACAATGCAAACTTTATTTCTTTTCTTCCCCTTTCCACTATGAAAAAGTTTAGATATTTCCTAGTATCAGCTCCTAACTAAACTATTTGTACTCAAATCTGTTTCTCAGGATCTGCTTCTAAGGAAACCCAAATAAAGACAGTTTATACACGGATGAAAATTTATTGAAGTTGAATATTATCTAAAGTAAAACCAAAGGTTTTCCATTCTGAAAGTGAATCAAAATCTGTTGATGGTTCATAGATACAATATTGCAAAGATAATTACGTTTAATCCCCAAAGCAACCATATGATGTTTTTAGGGGGAGCTTCTTGAAAATGAAGTAGCTATTTAAATATAAGTTTAAACATCACAAGGGAAAGGATCTGTTTGATTTACTCATGAACTCCAAAGACCTGGAGGAGTCCCTGTCACATACAGGCACTCAGTGAGTATTTCAAAGAATACTTAAACTAAAAATAGTTCACATCCATCTTGGAAGAATGTTTTTGATGGGGAACCCAAGTTCAAGAGGATAACTACGTGAGCTCTGAAGGAGAAAGGAACTTTCAAGCAAAGGAGAGACATCAAGTGAAGCAGTAATAGCAATTAGGATAGCTTATATGAGGTCTCCTCAATGGTGTGGTTGCTATAAACATTTTTATAGGTGCCTTACCTAAGGCTAAGAGAAGTAAAGCATTTTTTTCTTAGTCCCAAAACTGATGCATGAGAGTAGCTACATTTGAGCTCAGGCTTGTCTCCATCTTCCTGCACCCTTGCATAATCTCGAATTCTTCCTGCTGACTGGCCTAAGTTAGGCAGTTAGATTTTGGAGAATGGATGTAAGTCCAAA
This sequence comes from Homo sapiens, assembly GCF_000001405.40. Classification (NCBI taxonomy): domain Eukaryota; kingdom Metazoa; phylum Chordata; class Mammalia; order Primates; family Hominidae; genus Homo; species Homo sapiens. Next base: position 90,982,035 of record NC_000004.12, read on the forward strand.
TATTTCTTAAAGCAAAGACTTTTTAAATAAAATGAATGCCATAGTCAGTTCAGGCTGCTATATTAAAATATCATAAACTGGGTGGCTTAACAAACGTTTCTTACAGTTTTAAAATCTGAGACATTCAAGATCAAGATGCTGGCAGACTGGTATCTGGTGAGGGCTCTTTTCCTGGTTTGCAGATGGCTACCTTCTTGCTGTAACATCACATGACAGAAAGAGTGAGCTCTGACATCTTCCTCTTCTTTGAATGGCAGTAATTTCATCACGGAGGCTCCACCTTCATGACTTCACGTAAACCTCATTACTTCCCAAAGGCCCCACCTCTAAATATTGTTACATTGGGGTGTAGGGTTTCCACATATGAATTTGAATGGAGGGAACACAAATACTCAGTCCATAGCAATATGCATAAATTAGCAGGATTTTTTCAAACTTACTTCTCACTTGTAATTTGCAATTTTAACCAAGGTTTAATCTAGGACCAGAATGGGAAAGATATTATATAGAATGCTAGATGAGATCCAATAGGGTGAGGGCAAAGGAAAGGCTGCTATTTATTATTCTATATTTCAACAAGTAAATGATAGCATCTAAACAAAAAAAAATTCCTGCAAAATGTCATAAATTACCACACACTAATATCAAAGTGCCTAAAATAAACAAACTCCTATCATGAAGGGAAGTAAAATTCAACTAACAGGTGTTCCCACAAAGGAGAAAATAAGGTCATTCCTTTGAACCTAGGTGGCTGAAAAGAGTGAGAAAAGATATTCTCTAATAAGACTTCTATAATAGGTTCCTGAGGCTTGACAGCCTAAAGCCAAAACAAAACAAAGAAAAAAAAGATAGAGTCCTTAGAAGCAGACCAGTGAACCCATACTCACTTGCACCTTCAGGCCAAGAACACGATTGATAGTTATAGTAGTACATCTAAGTGCATTTCCTCAGGTTTCCATGACCTCAATCCATCTCCCTCTCCTTAGACCTTCTCATTTACCAGTCAGCAGCATGACTTACGCTATGCATATTCATTCTACCCTGCCTCCAGCACAGAGACTCAAACACATTCTTTCATGAATCACTATCACAACCTTTTAACAGTTTGGAGTATATTAAAATAAAAGCAATTCCATTTGAATCCCATTTTTTTTTGTCCTTGGATAAATGTAATCAATAATTAAGTTGTCAGCTTTTTGTAGAGAATAGACATCTCATGTTGTTTTTAATGATTATTCATTTACACATAATTCTTTGCTTGCCTAAAAAATATTTCTACTACCTCAAATTCCCAGTCTAATTTAATTTTTTTCTCTTTATGTACTAAACATTTTTGAAATCAGCAACTCTGTTATTTTGTCAAATTTACTGTAAATAATTTGGGTAGAGAACTGGATATGTGACCTCCAGGGCATCTTCAGTCACTGAAAATCTGTGATCCTCTTCCTAAATCTTTCGTGGACTCTCTCCAGATGTTTGTATTACTAGAAATACCTGAGAGTCCTGTTTTAACAGTGTTTATTAATAATATAGAGCCTTAAAGAACCTCATAAAGCAAGATTTTGGTGTTTTCAAGCAAGACTAACAATCCAAATTAAGGAAAAAAATAACTTACAAATATCAAAAAACAAAACAAAAAGCACCAAAGGGAAGGGAGTAGAAATTATGCATTTGGGCTATTAGACATCCTTTTCTCACACACTTAGTCTGTAATATGTTACCTAATAAAATTTAACACTCAGGCATTTTTCTAGTGAGAATATTTCATCTTTCTGTGCACTATTCTTTTCCTTTAGTGGAATATCTATTATACTCATTTGCCTGTATGCCATGCAGTTTGGCACATAATCACACACTGTTTATACGATTCTCTAAATGCTTGTCTCCTTGAGAGATTACAAGTAATTCAATTCACTAAAGTACTGTTTCTCTCTTTTTGTATCAGCAACAGTATTGAAGTAAACATTATGATACTTCTCAGTATAAGTGACAGTCCTGGGCACAATGCCTTCCTCATAATAAATTCCATTATTGGTTGGATTAATGCTCAAATGAATAAGTACTTGCTGAATTGAAGTAAGATGAAATGCATACTGGACAAGAATGACTGTTGGTAGCAACCACTGAAACAATTTTTGTTGTCTAAGCTGTTCACACACCATTTGTCCTTAAAGGTGCGTTGTTGAGAAAGTGCAATGTACCGAGTACTGTGTTAACAACTTATATAATCTAACTTTATCCTCACAATAACCTTAAAGAAAAACAGAGTCATAATTACTTCATTTTCAAGTAATAGAGAACTTGGATTGGCTTAAATAACAAATGGTATAACTTGATTCTAGTTGCAAGTAGGCAAGGATCTGTCTCTTGGCTGTACGTTAGCCAAGCAGGATCCTGGTAATGGCTGCCAGTAGCTTTCGTGTCTCCCCTCTTGGTTGCAAGATGGCTATAATTACAAAGAAGACAACTTCACACCTTGAAAGCATGGGAAATGCAGGGGAGTTTGTTTGGGAGAGTCTAAACAAGTGTCTCTTAGTTGAGTTAGCCCCCCATGCCTGGATCAATAACTAACTTATTGACTTAAGCTAATCAGGATCTCTTTTAATGGAGTGGTGTCAAATTAGCACTAAGAGGGGGAAAAATTGAAAGAAATACTAAGCACTAGTTATTAAAGAGTGTGGAAATGTGCACTAGAATGCAAAAGTAAAATAAAACTATTATATCCATTGCATCTCTTTTAAAGATAAACATTGACACTCTTTCTACAGTCAGACTTAGTATCTTAGTCTGTACACAGTCAGACTTAGTATCTTAGTGAATTATTCTTTATTTCATTATGTCGTTTACCAAAATATCCCTATTGATGTGTTTTGTCTTAAATTCCACTGTCTGACTTATTTCCAGACACTGCCCCCAACTTCCATCTCCCTTGGCTAAGTGAAGCTGAAGGCTCTGGCCAGCAGGAAAGGCGAAGGCAGAATAATTGCCTGACAGGTTTTGGATTGGAAAGGAACTGGGGAGGGAATGGAGGAGGTAGCTTTCAACCTCTCTCTGTCGTTTTATTTTAGGTGTATATCTGGTGAGTAATATAACACCAAAAAATTATTTTAAATATAATTTCATAAATTATCTGTTAATAAGTGAGTTTTTGTTTGTATTTTTTGTAATTGTAATTAATTATATTTGGACAGATCTACATCTTATTTTGTGTTGTTTCTTGCCTCTTTTCTCTGCCTCTTTTTATTCTTCTTTCTTACCTCTGTTGAAGTGATAGGCTTTTATTCCTTATTTTTACCTTTACTGTTTAGAAAGCCATCAGATTTTTTTTTTCTTCTTTAGCGGTTACTCTTAAATATTTAATAAAATATTTGGCTAACTTTTTAAGATAAGAAAACAAAACTGTAAAGGGCTAATGTTACTTTCTTAAAATCACACAGTTAATATTGGCAAAAGTGAAATTCCAAATTAAGTCTGTCTTCAACACCAATATAATAATGCCTCCCTTAAATATTTGTTCATTGTCTTCAGCTCTGTTATCTGCCATACAATAGGTGCTTCTAATTTTTTTATTTTGGCAATGAAAGAGATTCCTGTGTACTCTCAGTATTAGTAATACATACATTTTCTTTTTATTATACGTCATCTGAATGGCATGTCTCTTTGCTGCCATTCATTTCTATTTAACTGATAAAATTTTAATTCGCTGGCTAATTTTCTCCCTGCAACTAATGACCGCCCACTTGTATTTTAGGAATGTGTTAATTGAAGAAAAAAAGAAAAGAAACAGAATGACTTGTTCAATTAATAAGTGACAAAATACTGTTAGGAGCCATATTTTTGACAGCAAAAATATTAGACCAGTTAACTAATACATTCAGTGTAGGATTTGTTTTTTATTCAGTAACTTTTGTGATTAGACATAATGCTAGTTAATAACATTAAGTAAATCAGTTAGTACATTTTGGGTGAATATTATTTTTGCATTCTGAGAACCCATAAATGAAAAACAGTTTACTAGGAGTTTAGCTGAACATATAAAATGAATTGATTAAACATGTAAAGAAAGTCATAAAACTTCATCAGTTTGATTTTCGGCATGTTAAGTATATCTTAATCTGGTAAATCAAAGTATGTGCACCACTGTTCCAAGGAGAAATTTTGAATTAATTTTTGGTAACTTTTTGGAGTCCTGCTTTCTGTCTTTTTCTCTTAACTTATACTGGAAGAAAACTGTTTCACTGATGTTTCATATTCAAAACTAGCTTGACTAGTTTTAACCTTGATGTTTTTAATACACACTAATATTCGTGAATATTTCTATTTGAGTAGAAGTGAAGATTCATATGAGGTAGTCTGAAAGTTTGAATGTCCTCAATTTTATAAATGAATTTAAAACACCTGATTATTTCTGAAACAAAAATTGCTAAAGAAAAAATAGAGTGTATATATGAACCTGTATTTAAATATTTGATATGCCTGGATCAGTTAGAGAGATCTCTAAATCAAAGAAGCTGGCCAAGCCAAGTGAATTGGAGAGGAAAATACTGAGATCATCAGAATTAGAGAGTAGAGGCTAGTTAGACACCAAACCACATGCAATAACCCTCAGAATAAAATCTGAGGAACTGTGTCAATCATCAAGTTTGAGTTGGTCTTGGGTAAAAAAATGGCAGTAGAAACACTAGCAACTTTTTGACATGAGAAGGTAGTTAAATTTAAGTTTCAAGGGAAAAACCATAAATCATTGGCATGATTATATTTACAATTTCGATATTATTACAGAATATTTGCTAAACTCCCCATAACAACGCCTTCGGAGACCCTGTGTATCATGCAAAGGTAGATTTAGTCAACTTGCTAAATAAGGGAGAGCACCTGCTTAAGAGAGAGAGAATGAGGGAAGAGTCATGTAGGGTTTATGGACCTCGGGTTAGACACGTACTGTACAAGGCAGATGGTCATAAGTGAAGTCTAGGGAGGGATTGATCAGAATTTGTAAATTAGGTCAGTTGCCAGAACTGTCCATGAGCCCATGCAATCAATGAATTGAACTGCTAAATCAGCTTGTGATTTTATCTAGAAAAATACACATGTGAACAAACTGGTGCTAAAAGAATTTAAGCTTAGTTTGTCTGTCAGGATATGGTCTTTACAGTTCATCTGTTTTTCAAGTCAAGTAGAATTTGTGGTTTGTGTTTCATTTCGTATCTAGTATTCAGAACAGTGTCTTCCCTTTTTTATTTACTCTTTACCCATAGCCCTTCCATGGCATTTTGACTGGGTCTTGTAGTTTCATGTGACTATTTTACAATTCACCAAAAAATAAAACTAAACCATTATATTGCTTATGACATTTGCCTAGTGACTCTTTTGTCCTGTTCTAGACTTGCCTTCTCCTGTAGATCTTAATTCTAAGCATCCTTTCTCTCTGGTTCAAAACAAATCTTTCTGGAATATAACTTCCCTCAGTGTTTTGAGATTTTCAAATGTTGCCCAGTTTCTTAAATATATGCTACTTGTACCAAGGCACCCATTCATATTCAGGACTGTTAAATTGCTAGATAATTTAGGAGGAAAAAAAATGAATTTTTATTACTTTTTAATTCAACTTGTGTTTTTTCTTGTATAAAATTACCATGATTTTTGTTTTTATCTTTAGCATTAGACTTAAAAATGTGTTGTACACAGGTCATAGCAGCTTGCTTTGGACTTGTGCCATAGATCTCTGAGGATGCAAACTCATTCACCTCTACTGTTCATTGTACCCAGAGGAAAAGCTTAATAAGTACTGCTGTAACAAAATCATATTATTAAATAGAGTAAAATTTATTGACATAAACCCTATAAGGTTTAATATCCCCTAATGTTTGAAATATTCAGGTTTTATAATTTTCACAGATCTAGCCAATATTTTATTAGAAATTATGAGAAAGAGGATATGCTGCATAAAGTCAGAACTAAAATCCGCAATATTGTAAGTTGGAGTAAAGAATGATAAACTACCAGGCATGGTGGCTCATGCCTGTAATCTCAACACTTTGGGAGGCTGAAGGAGGAGAATCACTTGGGCCTAGGATTTTGAGACCAGCCTGGGTAACATAATGAGACACCATCTCTACAAAAACTAAAAATGAAAATTAAAAAATTAAAAATTATTCAGGTATAGTGGTATATGTTGTAGTCCCAGTTACTTGGGAGACTGAGGCAGGAGGATCCCTTGAGCCAGGAAGGTCAAGACTGCAGTTAACCATGATTGCAGCACTACACTCTAGCCTGGGAGACAGAGTGATATCTTGTCTCAAAAAAAAAAAAAAAAAAAAAAAAAAAAAGAAAGAAAAGAACAAGCTTAAATATCCTGGTCTTGACATTTTTTTTGGTTCATATAACATAATGTTGATTTTTTTGTTCTTATCCTACCAATTTAACTTGCTCAATAGTCATATCTTTGTAAAATGTCAGCAGGAAATTTTGATTCCATTAAATCAAGCCAATTATTGCTGGTGCTAATCATCATGTTTTTATCTGATAAGATAAAATAACAAAGTGATGTTTCTAAAATTTATGTGTCTGTGTTATGGGAGGGGTTCCACTAATATTTACATTTAATTTTTGCCTTTTAGAAATGAAAACTATAAATACTTATAATGACATAATAGACTTGATGGCTGATTTGTTTCATTTTCATTATTGAAACTCTCACATATTTGTATTTGTTACTGATATTTTCACTACTTATTTTAAGCTTTGATAATACATGGAAAATTAGAAGCCATTACAATAAGTAAACAATGAGATTCTCCAGCAAGATTTGGCACACATAAGTGGTCTGTTTTGTGGGGTTTTTTATTTTATGTCATTGTTTTTATTTTACTTTCCCTTTTTGAAAGTAAACTAATCAACAGACTTGGCTAGACACAGCATCTCCAAGTTGGAAAATGAAGTATTGAACACTGGGATAAGCTACAGAATATATATTCTATACATTCACCAAGAATTCCATTTAGCAATCCATGACATGGGAACATAAAAGTTTCATACAGTTTGCTAAGGCTTTGATAAATTTTATGTTGAATATTTTGAGGCAGATCCTGAAATTCTGAGGATATTGAACCACCTTTACAGCCAAGAGACATTTCCCTTTGGCTTCAGGAGAGATTTTACACCTTGTAACAGAGAAGAATCATGGAGCCTGCGTGTTTGGGCCTTTCAGTCTCCTCTTAAACATTACAGCAAAAATAAACCTAAGACTTGCTATTATGGAACAGCTTGAGTTGCTGGGAAATATAATCAGTGTAGATATTTGTGTATCATTGTTTACCATTTCTATGCCCTTTATCTGAGTTAATGAAACACATCTGGGGTATACGTTTTGAAGGAAAATGAAAAAGATCTGCTTATCCTCACTTAAAATACATTCTGTTCATCTCCACCCAGAGCATTAGAAAAAATAGGTAAAGTAAGCTATCTGAGATAGCTTCTGAGAATAATGGTTTCATTTTAAATGGGAGAATGCCTGAAGGGATTTCTACTGTAAGGGTAAAGAAAAGACTGACATGCAGAAATAATGTCTACAGTAAGATGAGTGACCTTCCTTTTGAAAGGTGGAAGGAAGAATGCCTAGAAATGTCAGATGCATAAGACTAAAAATGGAGATGTTTCCCATTCTGAAATTTATTTTTGATCTTTGGGTTAGAGCTTCAGATAGTACTGCAAAAGCTCCCTGAGTGACTCTAATCTTTAGCAGTGTTGAAAACCACTAAAAAAAAGCAAGTCTTATATTTGACAGAAAACAGGGAGATAGAATTAGAGAGAGAGAAAGAAAGAAAGGAAGAGAGGAAGAGAGATGGGAGCAGGGACGATCCGGAAATATATAGAGCATTAATATCAGAAATTATATGGTTCTAGCACTTAGTTATTGTTTCTTCTGGGCTCTTAGTGACCTAGGGTACCCAGAAGATGTCTGGTCCATGAGATTTTTACAACCAGATGCGACCTTGAAATGTAAATGGACTTTAAGAGATTGTGTGACATTATGAAGTGGGTCCTTATTTGCCACATAATGCCTATTGCATGTTAAATGCTTTAATTATTTATTTGTTTAAATTAAGCAACTCTCAACAATATAGTTCAAAGAGTGCTTTCAAGTGGAGAGTAGAGCATAATATCTCCCAAGTTTCTGGGAGACTGTTTCAGCTACAAGATATACGAATGTCACCCTATCAAAGGCCTGACCTCTGTATCCCCTTAGGCCTCAATGGTATGAATTCTACTCACTGGGGCAAAATGTACCATATAGTAAAGCCATGTTCTTCTTAAAATACGATGTACATAACCAAACACAGTATTTTGTGCTCAATTTTGCCATTGCAGAGGATAGACACTTATCTTCCTTGATCTGGATATTATAGTTCTTAACGCTGACAGCTCTTAATGCTGCCAAAGTTTCATCAGCACTCTGGCTGCTTTATCAGACTCTGCTTATCAGACTCTGCAATTGCTTTGAGCTTGCAGTGAATATTTGTCAGGGAGTGCTTCTGGAAAGCAGTTCTAGGTTGCCATTCTCTCAGAATCAGATGGAGTGCTTCCTGCAGGTCTAGATTCTTGGGCCCAGATGCACTGAATCAGAATTTCTGACAGTAGAGCCCACAAATCTGTAAGTACAATACATTCCCTGGGTCTTTCTAAAATACCCTAAAGTTGAGAACAGGTCTTCTGTTTATCTGTGAAAAATGAAAGGGGCTATTACCACCTATAAATATGTAGATTTGTGATGAATTGGGCATTTATGGGAACAACAAGAATATTAGTCAAAAACAGACCTGGGGTTGAGTCTGAGACTAGGAAGTGGCAGCAGAATTTTTAAATTTCTAATTCTATATTTTCATGATTTAACTACCTATCCTCTAATTCAGTGTTTCTTAAACTTTAGTGTGATCAGATCGCAAGGAGCTGATAGAATCCAAGCTTACCCTTTCAAAGACTAATTTTTAGGCAGGTGTTGGGGCCCAGGAATTGCCTTTTTAACACGCAGTCAGGTAGTATTGTGAGGAAATGATCCACAGGTTGAAGTCTCTTGATCCTGTTCTTTTGTCTCTTCCAAGATGTTCTTCCCTTCAGGTCTCTTTTTTTTTTATTGCCTCCTCATCTTCTCTATTTCTTTGGGTTCTTCTCCTTAGTTTGAGCAGACTTAAGCCACTCATATCCTAAGATTATTTTCTTATCAATTTGTATTAATTTTCTAGAGATGACATAACAAATTACCCACAAACTAGGTGGCTTAAAACAAGAGAAATTTATTGACTTGCATTTTTGGAAGCTAGAATCCTGAAAGTTCTATTGGTATCATCAGGCCATGCTGTCTCTGAAGCCTTTAAAGAGAAATCCTTCTTTGTGTTTTGCAGCTTCTGGTACTTCCACGTATCCACTTCTGGTACTTCCACGTATCCCTTGGCTTGCAGCACCATGATTCCAATTTCTGCTTCAGTCTTCACAAGGCTGTCTTCTCTCTATGTCAGTATGTCTATGTCTTCACATGGCATTCTCCTCCCTGTGTTTACATTTTCCTCTTCTAAGGATCTCAGTCATATTGAACTAGGTCCCACTCTCATCAAGTATGACCTCATTTTAAATTAATTACATCTGCAAACCCTGTTTCCAAATAAAGTCACGTCCATAGCTATGATTAGGACTTAGGACTTCAACATATCTTTTTAGGAAACACAATTCAATCCACAACAAAACTGTATGTTCCAGTCTAACTACTTCCCCATCTCTCTCCTTTTTTCAGCGAAGATTCTGAAACAAATAGTTTATACTGATTGTTATCACTTATTTACCACCTACTTACTGCAATCTGGCTTTGGATGTTACTACCATTGACAGTTCTGGAGTGACCATTGAAGTTAATTGACAAATCTAAAGAATGCTTGTTAGTTCTTGCCTTACTTGTTACTTTTATTGCACTCCAGAGTATTGAATGTTCTCATCTTAAAGCTTTTCTTATTTGAACTGACCTAAGTCAGCCTGCTTAAGTACAACTTTTAGTTTTACTTTGGTAAATTGCTATAGCTGTGAAAGTAAATTATTACAAAAGCAATCTATGATAAAATTCTGCCAAACTTGTAGATAATTTTAACTACACTAGCACAAAACTTGAGCCATTGTGCCATTAACTAGGGGATCTTACTGTTCTTTGTCATTTAAATGTTTCAATCACACTTTGAATTTAAGGTTTACTAAAAGCAGATACATCGAGTGGGAATTCTATTATTTTGCATAACCTCATGCATGATATCACACTGCTCATACAAAAAATATTTAAAATTAAATTATAGATATCTTTGTAATGTAACTCTCATCTTGATTTCTTGTCACATCTAGAAAGCCTATTGCCAAGTAATGATATTACAACAATTTTAGTGGATTAAGCAATATACATTTATTATCTCACAGTTTGTTTTGGGTTAGGAATTAAAATATGGCTTAGCTAGGTCTTCTGCTTAGTGTATCACAAGACTGAGATCAAGGTAATCTTCAAAACTGTGGTCTTATCCGAAGCTCAACTGGAAAAGGGTTATTATAAGATATTATGATTATTATAAGCTCATTCATGTTGTTGGCAGAATTCAATTCTTTGTGGTTGTAGGGCCGTTAGGTCTTCAATTACTTGCTGGCTGTTCACTGGAGGCCACCCTCAGCTCCCAGAGGCCCCTTGCAATTCTTACTACATAGGGTTCCCTAGTATGACTCTTTGCTTTCCCAAAGTATGACTTACTTTGCTTACCCAAAGTAAGACAGGGAGACCACAGACGATAGGTGCTACAATCTTATGTAACCATCTAATCATATACCCAAATCATATCCATTCTATTATTTAGAAGCAAGTCACAGATCCTTCCCATGCCCAAGGAATGGGGCTCACACACCGGCATGAACAACTGGAAGTGGGCATCATTGGAGCCACTTTAAGTGTCTTCTGTCCACAACCCTAAGTCTCCTCACTGTAAATATACTGCTTAGGTATTTGCATCTTCATATGTGACTTCAACTGCCAGTTATGTACTGTTGCTTCCAAAATCTATGTCCCAGCCTCTCTGTCTATCCTAAAATGTTAATCCAAATAGTCAACTTTCTTTTGATATTTTGATGTAAATGTAGTCATTTTTATGTGGACATCAATCTCAACACAATTCCTTTCTCTTCAGATTGCTCCTCTCTCTTTTTACCATTGTGAATAATGATGCATCCTATATCCAGTGTGCATGGGACACAAACCTGAGATTGTGATTTAATTATTCTCGGGTGGAACTGAGTCATCACAGTTTTTAAAAAGCTTCCAGATGATTTAATTTGCAGCTATAATGGATAACTAATGATCTATAACATTACTCTATTTTGTCTGCTTGATATTATTATGCTTATTTCCTTATTTTTTTTTTCTATCTCTCTTCTAGAATGTAAGCTTCTTGAAAGCTTCTTCATCAATATATTACTGTCTTAGATGGTTAGGTCTGCTATAAGAAATACATAGACTGGATGGCTTAAACAACAAACATTTAATTCTCATGGTTCTGGAGGCTAGGAAGTCTAAGATAAGGTATCAGCAAATTTGGTTCCTGATGAGGCCCTTCTTTCTGGTTTGCAGATAGCTGCCTTGTGGCTGAGAAATCATCTATCTTGAGTCTCCTTATAAGAGTGCTAATTCTGTTATGAGAACCACACCCTCATTATTTAATTACTTCCTAGAAGTACCCCTTCCAAACACTACCATATTGAGGTTTACGTCTTCAACATACGAATTTTGAGAAGACATAAACAGTCACTAACATACATTACAATATTTGGCATATAGTAGGTATTTAATAATTTGAGTAATTGATAAATACTACTTATTATATGTCAGCATTATGATAAGTGCTCTATACAGATGTTACTTGACTTATGATATGGTTACACTCATCCTGACAAACCCATCATACCATCATAAGTTGAAAATATTATAAGTTAAAAATTTATTTAGCTGGGTGCACTGGCATGCTCACGTAGTCCCGGCTATTTGAGAGGCTGAGATGGAAGCATTGCTTGAACCCAGGAGTTCGAGGCTGTAGTGCATTATCATCACATGAATAACCACTGCACTCCAGCCTAAGCAACATGTAGAGATGGAAACCCCATCTCTACAAAAAAAGGAAGAAAAAAGAAAATGCATTCAATATACCTAAGCTACCAAACATCATAGCTTAATCTAGCCTAACTACAAATGTGCTCAGAACCCTTATATTAGCCTACAGTTGGACAAAATCATCTAACACAAAGCCTATTTTATAATAAAATATTGGATGTCTTATATAATTTATTGAATACTGTACCAAAAGTGAAAAGCAGCATGGTTATATGGGTACTCAAAGTATGGTGTGTACTGAATGCATGATGCTTTCACACATGCTTCACATGGTAAAGTAAAAAAAAAAATCATAAGTTGAACCATCATAAATTGGAGACCATCTGTATACATTATTTTATTAATCCTCACAAAAACGTATGAGTCTATTTTCAATTCCATTTTTTAAAAAAACTGATTAGGTAAATGTAGTAAAGCAATTTATCTGAGGTCACATATAAAGTAAAGCTGTGATTGAAACTAAGTCTGCCTAACATCAAAACTCATGGTTCTGACCAATATGCTAAACATATGCTTTCCAGCTACATGTATTTATTGCCGAAGTTGTTATACCTTTTAGTGTGTTGTTTCTTTTTTGGAAAAGCCTATTTCTTTGCTGATTCATTAATCCACTGTGGTAGGATTAAAAGTCAGATCATGTAGCTCCACCAGAATATAGTTATCTTTTCATGTTGTGCATGACCATATATATTCAGGTTTCTGCTTCTGGTGGTTATTCTAAATGCAGTTATTATCAAGTAATGCTTACCGCTTGCCAACAATGTGCTAGACACAGAGCAGAGCAGAGCATCTGACATGCTTTCCATTCTGCACTCTGATCCATAACTTTCATCCATAAATCTTTTTGCAATTTTACAAACATGCATTCTCCAAACATTCCCATGAGGTAAATGAATATTTATTATATCCACTTTACAGATGCATAAAGTTAGATGTAGACTAATTAAGTAAGTTCTTCAAGGGCAGAGAGTGAGTTGGTTGGAAAATCAAGGTTAGCATTGAACATTCTGGATGCCTGCTTCTAAAAGGAATGAATGGTGTGTTAAGTTGATTTCACTATACATAGTTGAAAATGTTTATTTTAAGCTTTCATGATATATTTTCCATTAGTTTTTGGACATTGCCCAGAAGAATTCACAGTAAATTAATAGTCAGCCCTTAGATATGTATGCAGTTTGTGTCTGTTGGCTTCTGTGGGAGATGCAAAAATGAAACTGAAGAAAGAATTTAGCCCATAGTAATTACATCTTCCTGTAGAGATTCTGGTAATTATGTTTGGATATTTTTTTCACTATATAATTTAAAGTTTTGTATTTAGTAATGTACCTCTAATTTAGCATATAGAAGTAAGCAGCTAATTAAACTGAGATTACTTTCTACTCACAGCCAACATTTAAAACATAGTTATTATTACAAAATTTTTTAAAGTTATATTACTTTTTATGAATATGAACTCAAATCAAAATGCATAGCACAATAACATAATTAAGAAAGACTGTATTAGTTCGGTGTGTTGCCATTTAAAGATCCAAATTAAAACTATATGCTTTTCATTCCACCAAATGGTAGATTTTTAGAACCATAAAAGATCCATAGTTGATTTGTGGACTCACAACTGGTCCTTAAACAACATGATACATCTTTCTGATTCTTTTGTTATTCTTATTTTTTAAATGATAATTTGATTTAACTATACAGATATGCAACTATATATGTATAAGCATCACCTCTGTGTATAATTTTCAATTTGTTCAGATTTTGAGATTTTGTCGAATCTATATTTAAATTTAGATGCATGGTTTATGCTCAAAATCATTTTGATGGAAATAATATTTTATTATAGTCCAACAATGCTATAAATAATAAAAGGAATGAATATACAAGGTTAAATAGGACTTTATTTTCATCTGTATATACTGTTTGAATCACTGATGAGCACATGCACTAATATAAAATTTCCTGTTAATACATGCCAAATCTTGTTGTAGATGTGTGTCGTAGAAAGGTAGGCATTAGATATAAATCTCTATAATGAATGGTATTTTAATAAGGCAATCTTTAACTTTCTGTTTCACAAGCTTCTATTGAGAATTTGTTGGGACCATTTTATGGTATCTTAATAAATTTGCTGGGCTATACATTTTATAAATTGACTTCCTAAGACAGCTACCCCATTAATAGGTAAATAGATAATACTTCCATTTATTTATTATTTCTGAAGGCTTTCCACCTATTTGCAAGTATTAGTGGACCTGTCATGAAGAAGAAAATAAAAATAGATTGAAATAGTACAACTGGCAGTGTGATTATTTTGTATTCTAATTGATTAGCTGAGGGAGAATTATGTAACTTTCATCAGTTGGACTAAAACTTTAAATCATTCTACCAATAGAATTCCTTTTAATCATTTACCAAATTTCTCACCACCAAAATTTCACACCAACTTTCACCTCCTTTACCATTCCCAAACCTAGAAAACATTATTTTGTTCTCCATTCTAAATTTTTTTCATTTCAAAAATGTTATTGAAATGAAATCATATATTATATGATCTATTAAAACTGGCTTTTATTAACTCAGTATAATCCATTAAGAATAATCTAAGTTGATTGTATAAATAGTGTGCTGCTTTCTATTACTGAGAAACATGGTGTATTTATACCATGGTTTGTTTAACCATTCACCCCTTAAAGGACATTTGGATTACTTCTGGTTGTTAAGTATTATGAGTAAAGCCACTGTGAAATTTGTGTACAAGTTTTTGTGTGAGCAGGTTTCATTTCTCTGAAGTAAATACCCAAGAATACAATTGCTGGACTCTATGGTGTATTCACTTCCTGTTGCCACTGTAACAAAGAACCACAGTGATTTAAATAATACAAATTTTGTTATCTTACAGTTGTGGGAGTTAGAAATCTCAGTGGCCTAAAATCAAGGTGTGGGCAGGTTTGTGTTCCTTCTGGAGGTTGTAGGGGAGAGTCGGCTTCCTAGTTTTTTCCAGCTTCTAAAATGTGTCCACATTTCTTGATCATGGCACCATCCTTCATCTTCAAAGCCAGCAGCACAGCATCTTCACATCCTTCCCTCTCTTGCTTCTTTCTCTCACCTCTGCTTCTGTTGTCACATCTCCTCTGACTCTGACTGTCCTGCCTCCCCGTTCTGTTATAAGTATTCTTGTGAACACTTTGGATCCACGTGGACAACCCAGATTAATATTCCTATCCTAGGGTTCTTAATTTGATCACTTATGCAGAGTCCCTTTTATAAGTAAAGTAACATATTTACAGCTTCTGGGGATTAGGGCATAGACATCTTTATTTGGGGGATAGGAGCAGAGAAGGGTGGCATCATTCTGCTTACTACATATAGTAGGTGCACATTTAGTTTTATGAGAATTTATGATTGTCAGCTTCCTGGAATTCATCACACACATACATGCATACTCATACACAAATGTATATGGAGAATGTACATATAAGTTGCATAGTTCTTATTATTAATATTCAAATGAAGGAAGTGTTCCCATTCCTGAAGAGAAGTAAAGATTTCCTCTTACTAAATTGCTAAGGAAATTTCTCCCTTGGAAACTTTACAAAGGCTACACTGAGAGAAAATAACCTAGAGTTTTATAATGAACACATACATGATTTTTCATTTGTCAATTTCTTACAGTGACCTGATGAAAGCTGAGAGCATAATATTGAAGTCCAGCTCTGTAAAGGCATTTCTGCTAATGTGATCTTGGTATCCAGCTGAAAATAATAAAATATGCTCACTAGAATTTCCCAATTAAATATTTGCTTAATAATGAAATTTGCTTTAATTTTCCATTGAAAACTCGCTTCTTTTTTATTTTATTTTATTTTATTTATTTCTTTTTTTGAGATACAGTTTCTCTCTTATTGCCCAGGCTTTAGTGCAATGGCGCGATCTTGGCTCACCGCAACCTCTGCCACCCGAGTTCAAGCAATTCTCTTGCCTCAGCCTCCCAAGTAGCTGGGATTACAGGCATGCGTCACCACGTCCAGCTAATTTTGTATTTTTAGTAGAGACGGGGTTTCTCCATGTTGATCAAGCTCGTCTCAAACTCCGGACCTCAGGTGATCCACCCTCCTCGGCCTCCCAAAGAGCCGGGATTACAGGCGTGAGCCACTGCGCCCACCCTAATTTTTAAAATAATCAGTTATTTATTTTCCGTGGATTTTCCCCTCTCAACAAAAAAAAATTTTACACAACTTTTTCCCAATATTTTCTTTAAATCATCAGCAAAAAATATGAAATTACATTTCGTTTTTAATATTCTATACTTTTCTATGGGGATGCCTGCTTTATTTTACACCAATTTGCAAAGATAAAAATGATTATATGAAATACATAAAATTTATTCTTAATTGCTCTGAAAATAAACCTTAATATTTATAAGCAATGTGATTTGGGCATTATATTTTAAAAGCTTAAGTCAACTTGTCATAAATTTGCATCCATAAATCTAATTTAGCATTACACAGTTTTTTTTTTTTACTTTTACATTAGATTATGAGAGTACATATGCAAGTTTGGTACCTGGGTTATATTGCATGATGCTGAGGTTTGGGGTATGAATGATCCCATCACCCAGGTATGGAGAATAGTACCCAACCGTTAACTTTTCCCACTCTTGCCTCCCTCCCTCCCTCCATGCCCTAGTAGTCCCCAGTGTCTATTGTTGCTGTCTTTATGTCCATGAGTACCCAGTGTCTAGCTCCCACTTATAAGTGAGGACATGCAGTATGTAGTTTTATGTTCCTGTATTAATTTATTTAGAATAATGTTTTCCAGCTGAATCCATGTTGCTGCAAAGGACATGATTTCATTTTTCATGGCTCCATAGTATTCCATGGTGTATATGTATCATATTTTCTTTATCCAGGCCATCGTTGTTGGACATCTAAGTTGATTCCATATCTTTGCTATTGTGAATAGTATTGCGATGAACATGTGAGTGCTGTCCCTTTACGGTAGAACTATTTGTTTACTTTTGGATATACATCCAGTAATGGGAGTGTTGGGTTGAATGGTAGTTCTATTTTAAGGTCTTTGAGAAATCTCCAAATTGTTTTCCAAAGTGGCTGAATTAATTTACATTCCCACCAACAGTGTATAAGCATTCTCTTTTCTCCACAGCCTCATCAACATCTGTTGTTTTTTAGCTTTTTAATAATAGCCATTCTTACTGGTGTGAGGTAATATCTCAATGTGGTTTCAATTTGCATTCTCTAATGATTAGTGATGATGAACATTCTTTTATACATTTGTTGGCTACTGTATATCTTCTTTTGAGAAGTGTCTATTTATGTCTTCTGCCCGCTTTTTAATGGGGTTATTTGTTTTATGCTTGTTAAGTTGTTTAAGTTTCTTACAGATTCTGGATATTAGAACTTTGTTTGATGCATTGTTTGCAAATATTTTCTCCAGTTCTCTAGGTTGTCTGCTTCTTCTGTTGATAGTTTCTTTTGCTGTGCAGAAGCTCTGTAGTTTAATTAGGTCCCACTTGTCAATTTTTGCTTTCATTGCAATTGTTTTTTTCTTATTTGTTTTTGTTTTTGTTTTGTTTTGTTTTGTTTTTTGAGAACCTAATCATAAATTTTTTTCTCAAGGCCCATGTCCAGAATGGTGTTTCTGAGGTTTTTTTTTTTTTTTTCCCTAGGATTCTTATAGTTTGAGGTCTTATATTTAAATCTTTAATCCACCTTGAGTTAGTGTTTGTGTATGGTGAAAGGAAAGGGTCCAGTTTCATTCTTCTGCATATGGCTAGACAGCTATCCCAGCACCATTTATTGAATACGGAGTTCTTTCCCCACTGTTTATTTTTGATGACTTTGTTTCAGATTAGATGACTGCAGGTGTGTGGCTTTATTTCTGAGTTATCTATTCTGTTCCATTGGTCTATGTGTCTGTTTTTGTACCAGTACCTTATAGTATAGGTTATATAGGCTAATGCATAGTATAGTATAGTATAGTATAGGTATAGTATAGTATAGTATAGTATAGTATAGTATAGTATAGTATAGTATAGTATAGTATGTATAGTTTAGGTTACATACTACATTATAATATAAGCTAATTTGTAGCCTTGTAGTATAGGTTGAAATTGGGTAATGTTATGCCTCCAGCTTTGCTCTTTTTACTTAGGATTGCTTTGGCTATTCTTGGCTCTTTGTTTGTTCCATATGAATTTTAGTATAATGTTTTCCAATTCTATGAAAAATGACATTGGTGGTTTGATAGGAATAGCATTGATCTGTTGATTGCTTTGGGCAGTATGGCCTTTTTGACAATATAGATTCTTGAATTTCATGAGTATGGGATGTTTTTCCATTTGCCTGTGTCATCTATGATTTTTTTTAGCAGTGTTTTGTAGTTCTCCTTTTAGAGAGCTTTCACTTCCTTGATTAGATGTATTCCTAGACACTTTATTTTATTTTTTGTAGCATTTGTAAATGGGATTGTGTTCTTGATTTGGCCCTCAGCTAGAATGTTATCAGTTTATAGAAATGCTACTGATTTGAGTACATTGATTTTGTATCCTGAAACTCTGCTGAAGTTGTTTATCAGTTCCAGGAGTTTTCTGGCAGAGTCTTTTGAGTTTTCTAGGTATAGAGTCATATCATCCACAAAGATAAGTTGAATTCTTCCTTTCCTATTTGGATGCCTTTTATATCTTTATATTCCCTGATTGCTCTGGCTAGCACTTCCAGTACTATGTTTAATAAGGGGTGCTGAGAGAGGGCATCCTTGTCTTGTTCCAGGGGAATGCTTTCAGTTTTTGCCCTTTCACTTGGCTGTGTGTTTAACATAGATAGCTCTTATTATTTTGAGGTATGTTCTTTTGATGCCTAGTTTATCGAGGGGCTTTAACATGAAGGGATGTTGGATTTTATCAAAAGCTTTTTCTGCATCTACTGAGATGATCATATGGTTTTTGTTTTTAATTTTGTTTATGTGGTGAATCAATTTATTGATTTGCATATATTGAACCAACCTTGCATCCCAGGAATGAAGCCTACTTGATCATGATAAATTAACTTTTTGATGTACTGTGGAATTTAGTTTCCTAATATTTCTTTTAGGATTTTTGCATCTGTGTTCAATGGGGATATTGACCTATAGTTTTCTTTTATCATTGTATCTTTGGCAGGTTTGGTATCAGGGTGATGCTGGCTTCATAGAATGAGTTGAGGAGGAGTCCCCACTACTAAAATTTTTGAAATAGTTTCATATAGAATATTCTCATCTTTTCCTCTTCTTCTTTTCTTCTGACAATTTCTCACTTGTCTTCTGCACCTCATATTTGTTTTGTCTGATATAAGAATAGCTACTCCTGCTTACTTTTGGTGTCCATTTGCATGGGATGTCTTTTTCCACCCCTTTACCTTAAATTTATTTGAGTCCCTACGTGTTAGGTGAGTCTCTTGAGAGCAACAGATAGTTGGTTGGTGAATTTTTATGCATTCTGCAATTCTGCATCTTTTAAGTGGAGCATTTAGACCGTTTACATTCATTGTTAGTATTGATATGTGAGGTACTATTCCATTCATCATGCTATTTGTTGCCTGTATACCTTTTTTTCTTTAATTGTATTTTTGTTTTATAGGTATTGTGAGAATTATGGTTTAAAGAGGTTCTGTTTTGATGCGTCTCCAGGATTTGTTTCAAGATTTAGAGCTCCTTTTAGCAGTTCTCATAGTTCTGGCTTGGTAGTGGCAGATTCTCAGAGCATTTGTCTGAAAAAGATTGTATCTTTTTTTCATTTATGAAGCTTAGTTTTGCTGGATCCAAAATTCGTGCCTGATAATTGTTCTGTTTAAAGAGGCTGAAGATAGGGTCCCAATCCCTTCTAGCTTGTAGAATTTCTGCTGAGAAATCTGCTGTTAATCTGATAGGTTTTCCTTTGTAGGTTACCTGGTGCTTTTGCCTCAGCTCTCAATATTCTTTCCTTCACCTTGACTTTAGATAACCTGAAGACAATGTGCTGAGGCAATGATCTTTTTGTGATGAATTTCCCAGGTGTTCTTTGTGCTTCTTGTATTTGGATGTCTAGGTCTCTGGCAAGGCCAGGGAAGTTTTCCTTTATTATTCCCCCAGATATGTTTTCCAAACTTTTACATTTCCCTTCTTCCTCAGGAATACCAGTTATTCTTAGGTTTGGTTGTTTAACGTAGTCCCAAACTTCTTGGAGGCTTTGTTCATTTTTTCTTATTCTTTTTTCTTTGTCAGATTGGGTTAATTGGAGACCCTGTCTTCAAGCTCAGAAGTTCTTTATTCTGCTTGCTCCAGTCTGTTGCTGAGAATTTCCAGAGCATTTTGCATTTCTATAAGTGCATCCATTCTTTCCTGAAGTTTTAATTTTTTTTAATTTATGCTATCTCTTTCATTGAATATTTTTCCCTTCGCTTCTTGTATCTTTTTTAAAATTTTCTTAGATTGGGCTTTGCCTTTCTCTGATGCCTTCCTGATTAACTTAGTAACTGATCTTCTGAATTCTTTTTCAGGTAAATCAGGGATTTCTTCTTGGTTTGAATCCATTGCTGGTGAGCTAGTATGGTATTTGGGGGATGTTAAAGAACCATGTTTTGTCATAGTACCAGAATTGTTTTTTCTGGTTCCTTCTCATTTGGGTGGCTATGTCAGAGGGAAGATCTGGGGCTGAAGGCTGCTGTTCAGATTCTTTTGTCCCACGGCATGTTCCCTTGATGTAGTACTCTCTGTCTCTTCCTAGGGATGTGGCTTCCTGTGATCCAAGCTGTAGTGATTGTTATCTCTCTCTGGATCTAGCCACCCAGTAGGTCTACCAGGCTCCAGGCTGGTACCGGGGGTTGTCTGCACAGAGTCCTGTGATGTGAACCATCTGCAGGTCTCATAGCCATGGATAGCAACACCTGCTCTGGTGGAGGTGGCAGGGGGGTGAAATGGACTCTGTGAGGGTCCTTGGCTTTGGTTGCTTAAGGTATTATTTTTGTACGAGTGGGCCTCCTGCCAGGAGCTGTAGTAGTATGGGGAGGAAGAAGTGGTGGGCAAGGCCCTAGAACTCCCAAGAGTATATGCCCTTTGTCTTCAGTTACCAGGGTTGGTAGGGAGGGACCATTAGGTGAGGGCAGGGCTAGGCATGTCTGAGCTCAGCCTCTCCTTGGGTGGGTCTTACTGAGGCTGCTGTGGGGATGGCGGTGAGGTTCCCAGGTCAATGGAATTATGTTCCTAGGAGGATTATGCCTGCCTCTACTGTGTCATGAAGGTTGTCAGGGAAGTGGGGGAAAGCCAGCAGTCACAGGCCTCACCCAGCACCCACGCAACCCAAAAGTCTCACTCCCACTGTGCCCCCTCCAACAGAACCGAGTCTGTTTCCAAACATTGGGAGAGCAGGGCTGAGAACTTGTCCCAGACTACCTGCCTGCCAGCTATGAGAGCAGTTAGGGCTTTTGTTCTTCCCCGGCCTGTGGAGTCAGCACACTGGATTTGCACACTCCCCCAAGCTCTGGCCAGGAGATTTCCTCAATGGGTTGAAATTGTTAAAAAAAAGTTCGACTGGAAATTTCCTTCCTTCTGTGGCCTTTTCCCAGTGCCTCTGGCTGCCCTCCCCAAGGGCCTCTGAGAGGCAGGGAAGAAATGGCCTGCTAGGGGACCCAGCAAGCCCACAGGGCTTTTCCTGCTTCTTCCTCTACTTCTGCATTTCACTTGGTTCTCTAATTTGTTTCAGCTCTAGGGAAGGTCAAAATCTTCTTCCATGATCTAGACCTTCAGGTTCCCCAGTCAGGGTGTGTGTTCAGGGGCAGACAATTCCCCTTTCTACTTCCACAGTTTGGGCACCCACATTATTTGGGGTGTCTCCCGGGTCCTACAGGAGCAATCCACTTCCTTCGGAGAGTCTGTGGGTTATCTCGGCTCTTCTGGTTTATTCCTGCCGAGGTTCTAGAGCAAAACGTCACAATGTGAGTCTCTACACACTGCTCTGTCTGCAAATGAGCTGCAATCTAGTCTTGCCTCCAGTCCACCGTAATGTTCCCCTTTTCCCAAGTCTCATCTTAATGGAAAGACGATGGGCCAGGCTGCCACCTCCTAAGCCTTTCAGTGCCCAGGAAGTCATTGTCTCCCAACTGGGCCCTCAGTTTACAGTTTTAACATGAGATCATTGCAACTCTGATGCTGAACTAGTGTTTAGTGTTTAAAAATAGCCTTTTTAGTAAAATGGTAAAAGTTAATAAGTGATCATGAAATAATTTCATCTTTTCCTTAATGAAATCAAGTGTGCATTCACAAAATTCATTTGGTCAGTGTAATTACTTTCTTGAGTTCTATGTGCATGGCAAATGAAAAATAATGTTGTACGAAACTTAAGAACCTTCCAAAAGGTGCCTGAGTATGTGATTTTGTGTTTAACACTTCACTGCAAGGCCCACAGGTATCAGACAAATATAATCTTAATGAAAAAATTTTGATAGGTGTTTTTAAACACTCAAAACCTCTGCTTATGAAAGCTTCTCTAATATTTCTCAATTCAATGTTTAAGCACTACCTTATTTGCTCATAAATAAAAATATTTTGTCTTTGATATTAACATTTTATGTATTTCTGGGTAATTTATTTATCTAGTGATAAGTGTGATTTCTAAGTTCTGTACAGCTTTATTCAGGTTGATGAAATACAGTCATAGAGATCTTATTTCAGGTCTTGCCTCTAAGACCTTGGGCTCTGTTCTGATTAGCACAAGGGAGAGTGGGAGCTTAGCAACTATAAGTAGGACTTTGAGAGAGAAGTATAAAATGAATAGGGACAGCATTGTCCTGGACATCCCTTTCCAAATTCAGTCTGAGCATCCCACATCTGACATCTTGGTATGTTTAAACTCTGGCATCACCCTAGGAAATAACATTTCTTGTCCACTGTTATCTACCTTTCAAATCAATAGCCCTGAAAGCCACTCTTCCTTGACTTGTGACAAGAGTTAACACAAGAGTCTTTTTCCACCAAACTACTTATCTGACACTAAGGACAAGTCCTTCTGTCAGATGAGACAATAAAATACTGGTAATGTTACAGTGTAAATTTGTGGTGATTTAGCCTTCAATAAAAACTATGGTTTTACAAAGCATATTTAGACCACTTCCAATTTTATTGTTTTATATATCATGAAGTAATTTTACACACACACACACACACACACACACAGAGACACACAATCAAAATAGAATTTTTTACAATTTCATGAGAAGGGAATCAATCTTCAGATTGTTAAACACTAAAAGCACCCCTATGCTTGCCTGTAAGCTGGAATCATTTTTTAAAATTTTTGGTAATAATCACATAATATGAAAACCACCTTATTAAAAAATGTTTAAGTAAGTATACAGTATGGTATGGTTATCTGTATGCATATTGTTGTACAGCAGATCTCTAGATTTCATCTTGCATAACTGAAACTCTATAGCCATTGCTTGGATGAAGGAGAAACAGGAAATTGGTGTGCAATGGTAATAGAGCTTAATAACTTTGTGTTGATTTTTGTATATGATAGGGTTCTAGTTTCATTCTTATGAATGTGGATATCCAATTTTCCCAGCAACACTTATTGAAATGATAGTTCTTTTCCAATGTGTGTTCTTAGCCCCCTTGTTGAAAATCAATTGGCTGTAGATGTATGGATTTACTTCTGAGCTCTCTATTCTGTTCCACTGGTCTATATGTCTGTTTTTATGCCAGTATCATGTTGTTTTGGTTACTATAGCTTTATAAGTTTATTTTGAAATCAGATAGCATGATACCTCTAACATTTTTTCTGTTTGCTCATGATTGCGTTGACTACTTGAGATCTTTTATGGTTCCATATGACTTTTAAGATTCTTTTTTCTATTTCTGTGAAGAACGTCATTAGTATTCTGATAAAGGTTGTATTGAATTTGAAGATTGCTTCAAATTATTTGTCTTCTATTCCATTTTTTTTCACCAATGTTTTATAGTTTTCAGTGTAGAGATCATTCACCTTCTTGGTTAAATTTATTCCTGGCGATATTTTTTTTTGTAGCTATTATAAATGAGATTTTTTTTGTGTGCTATCAGCATATAGATACACTACTAATTTCTGTAGGTTAATTTTGTATCCTGCAATTTTACTGAATTCACTAGTTCTAACAGTTTTTTTGATGCATTATTTAGGGATTTCTATATATAAAATGATGTCATCTGCAAAAAAAAGATAATTTGGCTCTCACCTTTTCTATTTGGATGCCTTTTATTTCTTTTTTTCTTTTTTTTTTTTTCTTAGACGGAGTCTCGCTCTGTCACCCAGGATGGAGTGCAGTGGCGTGATCTCGGCTCACTGCAAGCTCTGCCTCCCAGGTTCACACCATTCTCCTGCCTCAGCCTCCCGAGTAGCTGGGACTACAGGTGCCCACCACCATGTCCGGCTAATTTTTTTTGTATTTTTAGTAGAGGCGGGGTTTCATCATGTTAGCCAGGATGGTCTTGATCTCCTGACCTCGTGATCCACCCGCCTTGGCCTCCCAAAGTGCTGGGATTACAGGCGGCCTTTTATTTCTTTATCTTGTCTAATAGCTCTAGCTATGACTTCCAGTACTAAGATGAATAAAAGTGGTGAAAGTAGGCATCCTTGTCTTGTTCCAGATCTTTCAACTTTTTCCTGTTCTGTATTATGTCACCTGTGGATTTATAATATATGGTTTTTATTGGGTTGAGGTACATACTTGCTATCCCTAATTTGTTGAGAGTTTTTATCATGAGAAAACATAGAATTTTCTCAAATGCTTTTCTGCATTTTTGAAATAATTGTATGTTTTTTGTCCTTTATTCTGTTAATGTGATGAGTCACACTTGATTTGCATATGTAGAACCATTATTGTATCCCTAGTGTAAGTCCCACTTGTTGTGGGACTTTTTTACTGTGAGTGACTGTGACTTTTTACTGTGCTATTTAATTCAGTTTGTTAGTATTTTGTTGAGGATTTTTGCATCTGTGTTCATCAGAAATAATGACCTATAATTTTCTTGCTTTGTTATGTCCTTGTCTGATTTTGGAATCAAAGTAATTCAAACCTCATAGAATGATTCAGGAAGAATTTCATCCCTTCAATTATCTGAAATAGTTTGGGAAGAATTGGTATTAGTTCTTTAATGATTTGGTAGAATACAGCAGTGGAGGTGTCAGATTCTGGGCTTTTCATTGCTGGATGAATTAATTATTGATTCAGTCTTGTTACTTGTCATTAGTCTGTTCCAAAGTTCTACTTCTTCATGCTTAAATCCCGGTAGCTTGTATGTGTCCAGGAATTTATCCATTTCTTGTCTCTTATGATCCTTTGTATTTCTATTGCATCAATGGTAATGTCTCCTTTTTAATCTCTGGTTCTATTTATTTGTCTTCTCTTTTTTCCTAGTTACTCTGGCTAAACATTTGTCAATTTTATCTTCTCAAAAAAAAAAAAAAAACTCTTTTGTTGATCTTTTGTATTGTTTTTGTCATCTTTATTTCTTTTACTCTTGCTTTGATATTTACTATTTCTTTCCTTTTAGTAATTTTTGGTTTAGTTTGTTCTTGTTTTACTAGTTTCTTGAGGTGTAATGTTAACTTGGTTGTTTAAGCTCTTCCTGGATTTTTTGACATTGATGCTTGTTGCCATATACTTCCCTTTGAGTACTGCTTTTGCTGTATCCCATAGGTTTTGATATGTTGTATTTTCATTTTAATTTGTCTCTAAAATTTTAAAATTTTGCTTTTAATTTCTTAGTTGACCCATTGGCCGCCAAGAGTGTGATGTTTAATTTCCATGTGTTTGTATAGTTTCCTGCTTTTACTGATTCTAGTTTCATACACTGTGATTGGAAACAATACTTAATATACTTTTAATTTTTAAAAATTCATTAAGACTTGTTTAGTAGCCTGTCGTATGGTCTATTCTGGATAATGTTCCATGTATATGAGAGGAATATTCTGATATATCCCTCTCTGCTACTTTTGGAATTCTATTAGGTTCATTTTCTCTAGAGTGAAGTTTATTTCCAGTATTTTAAAATTAATTTTCTGTCTGGTTGACAGTGGAATACTGAAGTTTTCTACTATTATTGTGTAGTTATCTTTCTTTATATCTATTGATATTTGCTTTATATATTTAGGTGCTTCAATGTTGAGAGCATATGTATTTAAAAGTGTTATGTCTTCTTGATTAATTATTCCCTTTATCATTAAGTAATATTCTTTCTGTCTCTTGTGACAGTTTTTAACTTGTAGTCTGTTTTATCTGACTTCAATATAGTCACCCGTGCTCTCTTTTGATTACCACTTGCATGGGTTGTCTTCTTCTATCCTTTTACTTTCAGCAAATATTTGGCCTTGAGGCTAAAATGGGTCTTTTGGAGGCATCGTATAGTTTGATCTTGTTTTTTTAATCCATTCTGCTTTTCTGTGTCTTTGATTGGAGAATTTAATCCATTTATTTTCAAAGTAATTATTGATATGTAAAGAGTTACTACTGATGTTACCGGGTGGTCCTTGCTCCCAGAGCTCCCAAGATGTTGGCAGGCTGATTCCAAAATGGCAGCAGGCTGCTTCCAAGATGGTGGCAAGCCTCGTGTTCTCTGACCTGGGGTTCTTGGCCTCATGGATTCCAAGGAATGGAATCTTGGGCCATGTGGTGAGTGTTATAGCTCTATTAGAAGCTGTGGGTCACAGAAGAGAGCTGGGGAACCCAGTGACTAGTGTTCAGCTCGATTAGGACGAACCCGGGCACTTAGCCGTGCAGGAACAATGGTAAGCCTTTAGCCTGATCGGGAGCGGCAATGGGTGCCTCCCCGGATCAGGAGCACAGTGGACACCCTGGGACAACCTGCCAGATCTGGAGGGATGGAAGTCAGGGGCGGGTCTGAGATGTCAGCAAACAGCAGTGGTGGACAGCAAGACAAAAGCTCAGCTCCAGCCTTAACAAACACAGAGCAGAAGAGAGTGCATTTGCAAGATTTAATAGAGTGAAAACAGAGCTCCCATACAAAGGGAGGGGACCCAAAGAGGGTAGCCGTTGCTGGCTCGAATGCCTAGGTTTATATCCCGATCATTGTCCCTCTCCCAGTGCTTTCAGGCAATAGATGATTGGCTATTTCTTTACCTCCTGTTTTTGCCTAATTAGCATTTTAATGAGCTCTCTTTACTACCTGATTGGTTGAGTGTGAGCTAAGTTGCAAGCCCCGCGTTTAAAGGTGGATGCAGTCACCTTCCCAGGTAGGCTTAGGGATTCTTAGTCAGCCTAAGAAATCCAGCTAGTCCTGTCTCTCACTGACATTTTGTAATTTGTTTTCTGGTTGGTTTGTTGCTCTTTCCCCCCTTTATTACTCTCTTGTTATTTATCTTTTTGATGTCCTGATTTTATGTAGTGCTAAGCTTTGATTCTTTCATATTTATCACTTTTGTATCTGCTATAGTTTTTGGCTTTGTGGTTGTTATGAGGCTTACATAAAATATTCTATTGTTTTAACAGACTATTTTACACTGATAACAACTTAACTTAATTTGCATACAAAACCTCTAGATTTTTACCCTCCCTCCCACAATTTATATTTTTGATGTCACAATTTACATCTTTTTATATTATGGAATTTTAAAAACTTATTGCAGCTATCATTATTTTTGAATCTTTTGACTTTTAACATTTATACTAAAGATATATATACTATTTATAGAGCACCATAACAGTCTTGGGGATTCTGAATTTGACTGTATATTTACCTTTACCTGAGAATTTTTTACTTTCTAAAATTTTTATGTTATATCTAGTGTTCTTTTGTTTCTACTTGAAGAACTTCCTTAAGAATTTCTTCTAGGGAAAATCTAGTGGTGATGAATTATTTGACCTTTGCTTGTCTGGGAGAAAGACTATTTCTCCTTCATTTCTTAAGGATAGCTTTGCTGGATATAGTGTTCCCAAGTGGCAGGGTTTTTTTTGTTTTTGTTTTTGTTTCCAGAACAATGAATATGTAATCTCATTCTCTACTGGCCTGCAGAGTTTCTGCTGAAAAATCCACTGATAGTCTGATGGAGATTACCTTATGCATCCGACTTGATGTGTTTCTCTTGCTTCTTTTAAAATTCCCTGTTTGTCTTTACTTTTTGACAGTTTAATTACAAATGCCTTGTTGAGGACAATTTTTGGTTGAATCTGTTTGGCAACTTTTGTGTTTCATGTATCTGGAAATCCATATCTCTTTGAAGACTTGGGAAGTTTCTAGCAATTACAGCATTAACTAAGCTTACTGCCCCATTTTTGACGCTTTCCTTTCTGGAAATCCCATAATATTGTTTGTTTACTTAATGGTGTCCCATAAGTCCCACAGGCTGTCTTAATTCTTTTTCATTCTTATTTCATTTTTATCCTCTGACTGGGTAATTTTACATGATGTATCTTCAAGTTCAGATATTCTTTCTTCTGATTCACCTAGTCTGCTGTTGAAGCTCTATATTGTATTTTTTCATTTCACTTGTTGAATTCTTCACCTCTTAATATTTCTGCTTGTTTCTTTTTTATATCCATCTCTTTGCTAAATTTATCATTCAGATAATGAATTGTTTTCTGGATTTCATTAAATTGTTTATCTGTACTCTCTTGTATCTCACTGAGTTTCCTTAAGATCATGATTTTGAATTCCCTTTCTGGAAATTTGTAGATTTATTTTTCCTTGGGGTCTGTTGTTGGACAGTTACTGTGTTCCTTTGGGGTGTCATATTTTCTTTGTTTCTCATGTTTTTTGTGTCTCCATGTTGATGTCTGAATCAGGTCTGGAAATTACTTCTTCCAAATTTTACTGAGTGGCTTTTGAAGGGAAAGACTTTCACCTGCAGATGAGTCTAACTGCGCTGTTTGGGAAGAGTGTGGTGACTCTGGTTCTGAGTAAATGCAATGGTACAGCCTCCAGTGCAGCTTCTTCAGGTGCAATTCACATCAGTGATGACTGTGGGTGCCTCTGTGGCCTAGGTTGTAGCAGTTTGTGGTGGCAGTGGTAGCATAGGTTATTAAGTTCCTTCGTGGCAAGGGCTGTTGGGGTCCTCCCATTCTCATTTCCTTCAAAATAGGGATACTTAGCTTAGGGGACCTCTCTTGGTGCTGGATCTGACATGGCATGCAAGCTGTGACATGGCCTACAATCTGTAGCAGTGCTGGGTTCCAGAATGCAGGTGCTCAGAACAGCTGTAGAGCCAAGGTCCTAGACTCAGGGTGTCAAGAACCTATTGTGGCACCTGAGTCTTGGGCTGTAGATTCCCTCTCTGATGCAGAGTTGAATGTAGATTCTTCACAGAGCCAAAGTCTCTGACTCTAAGGCACCCCCTGGCAGCTTGGGCTCAGAGGACCAGGTTGTGTCTATGACACTGAACCCTGAGGAACAGGGCAACAACTTTGGCTCAGTTCTGGGGAGGAAAGGGAGATTTGGGCCCAAGGAGCAAGGTGTAGCTGCAATTTGTGTACCAGAGCCAATAGGGCTCAGTGGCAACTCAGGTCTCAGGGAATGAGGCACTGTGTAGTGGTGACTCTGGGCCCTAGGATGGTGGGACTGAGCATTATCCCAGACTGTATGAAGCCAGGTACAGGAACAGCCAAGGCATAGAATTGTGGAACACAATTGTGGCTTGGGCCCGGGTGGTAGGGAGCAGCACAATAATGACTTCACTCCCTCTCAGGAGGTGGGTGTTTCTGCAGCTTAGACTCTAGGGAGATAATACAGCTCCAGGGAAGCTAAGTACTAGAATTGTTTGACCTTTTGGGTAAGGTGTCTCAGCTCAGCCACTGCTCTTTTCCTGGGAAATAGGCTTCCCCAGTAGCTCAGCCTTGGGATGTGTGACTGCTTGGGTTGGCCAAGGCACCAGTTTTCTAAGAGGCAATGTGCCACTTCAGCCCAGGCTCAGGGGCTATGACTTCTCAGGGTAGCCAGGGTATTTTCCCCAGAGGTACAGTACAGCTTTACTCAGGCACAGGGTAGTGTGAATGCTCTTTGCAGCCAAAGCATTGTTTCCCCAGGATTCAGGGTACCACTTCAGCTCTAGCAAAGGGGACAGGGCATAGCAGTGACTGGGAGGGGTACATGGAGCAGCTCTGCCAAGGCACTCTTTCCCCAGGCAGCACTGTGCAGCTTTACCTCTGGCCCCAAGGGACAGGGCACAGCAGTGACTGGGAAGGGCATAAAGAGGGGCTCCACAAAGGAATCATTTTTGCAAGAGGAAGTATGCAATTTCAACTCAGTCCTGAGGGAGCAGGACAAAGCTGTGTCTGGGTGGGGAGGGTGGGTGAAGTACCTCTAAGGCTGCTTGACCCCATGGATAGGGTGTAGTAGGAGCTGGAGGTTTGGCTGGGGGATGTCAGGCCACTGGGCCAGGGTAGTTCAGCAGTAGCTAAGCCTCAAGGGTAGAAGGGTACAAAGGCCATACACTGCTACAACAGAACACACTCCAACAGTACTTCCAACTCTAAGATAATGTAGAATAGTAGCCACATGGGCTACAGGGACCAGGGGGATGGTGTTGGCTTATTCTCTCGGGGAGGATAGCTATTTGAACACTAGGAAGGGCTCTCAGCTCACCTTAGTGCCTGAAAGGACTGCAGGGGTCCCCAGTGGTTAGGACTGTAGGCGTCCAAGGTGTTAATGTGGGCTGATGGTGTCCTCTTGCTTACCATTTCCCCACAAGAAGAAGTTCCTTCTGGTTCCAAACTGACCCTGGCAGGGGGATGGGGTGGTTGAGGCCAAGTGTTTTATTTTATTTTATACATGGCTTTCCTTTCTCTCCAGGGTTTCTGATACTCCTTTGATGTACTCCAGTGCTCTTCTTTAGTTATTTTTATTAAAACATAGCTGTTTATTCATTGTTTTGACTGTATTTGTCAAGGGAACGAAAGATAAGGGCTTCTAATCAACCATTTTGCTAATGTCACACTCTCTTTTCCAGGAGTTTTTTTATTTCAAGTCTTATGTTTAAGTCTTTAATTCATTTTGACTTGATTTTTATGTATCGTGTTAAGATAAGGGTCCAATTTTTTCTTTTGTATGTAAATATTTAGTTTTCCAGACACTCTTTGTTGAAGACATTATTTTTCCACCTTTGTATAGTCTCGGCACTCTTGTTGAAGATCATTTGACTATATATGCATAAGTCTATTTCAACCTTCCCTATTCTGATCCATTGTTCTATATGTCTGTCTTTATGCCAGTACCACACTGATTAGATTACTTTAACATTGTAATATGATTTGAAACCAGGAATTGTAAAGCCTCCAGCTTTTTTGTTCTTTCTCAAGACATATATATATATATATTTTTTTGCTAGTCTGTCTGTTTCCATTGTGGTTCCTGATGAGTTTTAAGATTTTCTTTTTTTTTTTTTTTTGAGATGGAGTCTTGCTCTGTCAACCAGGCTGGAGTGCAGTGGCGCGATCTCGGCTCACTGCAAGCTCCGCCTCCCGGGTTCACGCCATTCTCCTGCCTCAGGCTCCCGAGCAGCTGGGACTCCAGGCACCTGTCACCACGCCCAGCTATTGTTTTTGTATTTTTTTTTTTTTTTGTATTTTTAGTAGAGATGGGGTTTTACTGTGTTAGCCAGGATGGTCTGAATCTCCTGACCTCGTGATCCGCCTCTCTTAGCCTCCCAAAGTGCTGGGATTACAGATGTGAGCCACCGCTCCGGGCACACTTTTTTGTTTTTGTTTTTGTTGTTGTTGTTGTTGTTTTGTATTTCTGAAAAAAATGCCAAGGGATTTTCATAGGAATTGTGAACCAAATAAGAAGGAACCAAACACATAACAAGAGTCCTTCATGTTATATCTTTCATGAATACATAAGCCCGGACATCACTTAATGCTTGGAAGAGTGAGATTTTTAGGAAAAATATTCTTTAGCGGGATTTTACTTTATTTCTGCAGATTTTTCTCCTCCTTTATACCTGACATGGGAAAAGATTTTGGCGACCATCATTTAGTATCCATGCTCTCTCTCAACACTCAGAAATCTATAGCTATCTTTTAAATGTAGATTAAAGCTTTCCAACATTGACATATGAAAATTAAAAAAGCAAAACTTATAAGGACCAATTCTGATTGGTTTGTTAAAAGCCTAAGGGCCATCAGCTTTTTATCTGTTATTAATTTATTGTTTCTCCTACCCTTAGAGTACCTCTGGTCACTTTTACTGCTTCTACTTCTCCACACCACGTCCTACTCCTAAATTTGTGCTATAAAATCTGCTACATTCTTTAAATATTATATTCTATAGTAGTTCTACTCTGGAAACATTGTTTTATTACCTAATGAATTCTTCTAGGAACTAACCAGCTAATCCTTTTATA
Source organism: Homo sapiens (assembly GCF_000001405.40). NCBI lineage: Eukaryota > Metazoa > Chordata > Mammalia > Primates > Hominidae > Homo > Homo sapiens. The sequence goes on from NC_000004.12 coordinate 91,014,575, forward strand.
ATAACCTTATCTGAAGCAGTTATACTAACTGCATGATGCAAACATTTTCTTGCTGCTTTTTAACAAAGCCAGATTCTTATTTTTTGACAAAGTCTAAGCAAATGTAAACATACATTCAAAAATATTAATAGAAATCTACTTCACACATAATCTTAAATGAGAGATTATTAAGAATCAAATATTTCACTTGAATTTTGCTAAAAATAACAAATAGTGTAAAGGCATACTGTAATATTTTTTCTGTTCTGCAAAATTTGAGTTGCCATACAAAGATGATTAGATTCTGTCCACATAGGACTGGAAGGTGACATATTTGAAACAGAGAAACAGAAAAGTTCAAGTTTGGAGAGAATCAAACCCATAGTTTATTACAGTGGAAATTGTGCAGATAAATTACTCTTCAAAATTGTTTTTTTTTAAGGAAAAAATACAATATCAATACAAACTTACTGTATAGTTCACTGGCCCAAAATAAAGCACTTGCTGAGGAAAATTAACAAGCTATACTTGAATCCATCCCATATTTATTAACTGATGTTAGTCTGTGAAATACTTCATCTTACCATTATGTAATGTGAGTATAATAACATTGCAGAAAGGATGTTTTCATTAAAAACATGTGGTTATCTTCAACTGAAGTAGATTACATGCAAGGAAAGTTCTATGTGCTTTATTATATTAGTACAAGTAAGGTTATATCAAAAAAGTAATACATAATGAAAAATTTTAATTGGATCTACTGCTTTTCAAATATTCATTTTTTAATCAATTTGCTTTAACTAATAGGCTACCGTGATAAGCTGCTATTCTGCTCATCACAAGGAGTTAGAGTCCTAATTATTTAAATAAACAGAAGGAAGAAAGGAAGGAAATTAATTTTGACAAAGGACCTGAATAATCCATAAACCAGATGCCTTTAGGTATGAAATTATAAAAGTTTTATTAATCCTTTAGTGTAAGTTATATTTTTATTTGTGTGGGTTGATTTTTCTCACATTCACTTTTTTATAGTTGCTTTATTATTATGTAAATTAATTTTTATGTTTGAAAAAATACAATATTTAAATATTTATAAACAGGTACCTATTATAAAATCTATAAACATATTAGCAATTTGCTATATAAAATATTTCTTTTACTCAGAAAAAAATATTAATCCTTAATTTTTAGATCAAATGTATTAAAAGCAATTCAGCAATAACTAGAGGAAAACATTCAACTTCAGTGCCTGAAAAGATTCATATTCAGTTCTTGTAAATTGTTGTTTTCCAGCTATTGAAATATTTTGAATTTTATATTTACAGGAACATTAGAACTATTAAATATAAAACATTAAGGACTAAGTTTAATAGCATTTTGTGTAAATGTGAAAAATTATGTAGGCTTGGTACTTGATTTATTAAGATTTCATTTAAAACAGCTCATGTTCATTCGTCTGAATACTTATTACTGAACAGATTTCTTGGATCACGAGTTCTCTGTCTACATTTATGCATTTTACACAAGCTGTTGGCTTTGAACACTAGGAAATGTTTATAAAAAACTAACAAAAATAATTATAGTTTTAATGTCACTGCATTTTTATTTGAAGTTGACTGGATGATGTTGAATAGCTCTAAGTTTTATAAACGTACTTTTTATCTTTTCAAAATTAATATTAACAAAATAAATTTAATCTCAGTGAAATGATTTATAAAGTTTTATACTATTTTATTTATTTAAAGGCTCCTGAAATTCATTCTGAATGTATCGGCAGAATAAATACAATTATATATGATTATTTTCATTGACTTTAGAAAGCAACAGAATAATTATTCCTTGCACATTTTAAATATGCTACAGACTTCAGACATATGTTTTAAATAATCATCAGTATTATCATTGTCAAAATTAACTTCCTTATTATTATCATCATTTTTTCTATCACCTTTGCCACAATTATGACTGTGGTAGTAGCTATTGCACATTTTAGACCATATAACAAAAAAATTAATTTCTTCCTAACACAATTATGTATCATGGCTAATAGCTGTTATGATGTTGATGTTCTTTATATATACACATATATATGCATTGTTAATAGTGTATGTACATACTCTTTAAAAATACAAAAGGAAATTTCTGCTCAAATACATAAAATGTACTGTCCTATGTTCTTTATATGCAGATATAAATTACATGTCCCTAACTTCAGCCACTTCCCGCTTAATTTCTAGCAGGGAAGATATGGTGTTAGAAAGATTTGTAGTTGTAGCTCTTTGATTTTCTTTAGTTAAATAGTTAGATTTTTATTTAAAGTGTGAGTTAAGCATTTTCATGTATTAAAGTGGGAATAAGGGGAGGAGAGTTTGAATATAGGAGAGAAGAAAATGACAAGGAAAAATCTTGTAGAATACAGGAAGGAATAAAGTTCATAGAAGAGAAACTGGTCTAAGTCTGAAAAGTACCTGCCTCCCGAGGAGACTTAATATTGGAGTAATAGGAATAAATTAATAAACTGATAAGATAATTGAGGGAGAGCATAATCAGTATACAAGGGCAAAAAATTGATGACTTTCTATGTCATGGTCTTTATTTTCTTAGTGAAAACGAAGTAAGATCAGCTCTGGATACCTCCTAACTCTTCCCCTCCTTCTCCTGATGAGGGAGAAGTGGAGGCCCAAGGAAAATGAGCAAGTTTTGTAACAACACGAATGGGGAAGGATGGGAAAGAGAACAGAATCGGTGGAGGTAAAAGGTCTAGAAACTTCACTAAAGACATTGTACATTAAACCTTGATCTTCCATTGTATCCCTGTTAATTGAAAATTGAATTTATGCAGGAAAAGTATTCTTTTTTTAACTTCTATTTTTAAGTTCAGGGGTACATGTGCAGGTTCGTTATATAGGTAAACTCGTGTAATGGGGGTTTGTGGTGCAGAGTATTTTGTCACCTAGGTGTTAAGTCTAGTCCCCATTAGTTATCAGGAAATGTATTCTTAACCTGTCATTTGAATATGTCAGAGTTTATAGTATCCAGGTTGCCTTACCTACAGGGCTAAATGATATTTCTTATTTCCAGGATGTATGAGAAGGGGAAAAAGTAAAGGAAGGTGCAGGAAATTCAGTAAAGTACATTTTGAGGGCTTCAATGAAATAACTTAGAAATTTGTCTAAGTTTGTCACATATTCTGGAATCTGACATTTGCTGTGTCTTAAGGCCAGTACTGTCTTCGTATTAACATTATGGTTTTTAAATTGTGTGTGTGTGTGTGTGTGTGTGTGTGTGTATAAATTTTTTTAAGAGTCTCACTCTGTCACCCTAGGCTGAATAACAATCATAGCTCACTGTAGTCTTGGATTCCTGTGTTCAAGCAATCCTCTTGCCTCAGCTTCCGGAGTGGTATTTAATAATCTTTTCTAGGAACATTTGATTATTATGGTGATTTGATTCTGAATGTGGATGGAAAGGAGATGAAATAATTCATCTTATTTAGAAAGTCTCCAGTATATTAAACATATAGAACTATCAAATGATTGTGTTTTTTTCTCTGGGAAATCTCACTCATGAGCATGTTTTTTGTTTCAAATTAATACTTCGCACAATTCTTTCATCTATTTATTTAGCTCAGTACTCTACCACAAGCTTCAGACTTGCTTTTCTCACTCAAAGCATAGCTTTCCAAAACAAAACTACACTTTCTCTAGTATTTCTTTTCTTAATAAATGGTACCACTGAAGCTAGAAAGCCATTGCCCTCCGTCTTTTCTTACCCTGCTTTGAATCAACTATCAAATCGGGTTGAATTTATCTCCAAATATGTAGGTTTTCTTCATCTCTCATTTGTACTACTAAGCTTCCTGAATTATCTCTTTATCTGCAATCTGGATTATGACTTCAAGTTACCATAATCCAACTTCCTTAGCAGGCAGAGTCATCTTAGCTAAAATTTATATTTGGCCATATTATTCCCTAGTTTATAGTCCTTAATTGCTTTCTACAACCCTTAGGGTAACATAACTTTTCTTAACATGGTTATCAAACACTGCATAATGTGGCATCTGCTTACCCTTTGGTTTTATTTCTTGTGACGCTTCTAGTATGCTAAGCTCTTGCTCTACTGATGTGTAAATTCAATACCAATGTTTCAGACACCTGAGTCCTTTCTCATGCTGAACCCCCTCTGCTTGATATATTACTTCCTAATCTTTATTTTCACCTACCTGGACCAACCCTTACTTTTTCGATAAATTTAAGTGTTGTAAATTCAAATGTTACTTCCATCAGAAGGTCTCCTTGACTGCTGATGTTGTTGGATGTCCCACTTTGCATTCTTACAGAGTACTGTACTTCCCCTATGACTTTGCTAATCAAATATTATTGTGATAATGTCCTATTTAATTCACTATTTCTTCTATACTGCTCTGTATGAGAGGACAGATCAAGTATACCACCTTCATCTCTATCATTTATTGCTATGCCTGACAATGTCTCTCAATAAGTGGTCATTAAATGAATGTCTAGAATGCTGTGAATTCAAATATAATAAGATAATAGATATTTTTATTTTTACTATTTCAGATTTCAATTTTTTCTCGGTGTGCTGTTTCAAGATACTTCCTTTTAATATTCTCATTTTTAGAACAAGTTATTTTCTTATGCCTCTATAAACAAATATATTTATAAATTAATTTATAAAATCAATTTTGGACTGTCTCTCTCATTTAAAATATTCCACACTGGGCTACTTTCAAATTTCAAATCTTATATCCATGGGTTCTATGTAAAGCTATTTAGAATTTACTTTTGCTAATTTTTCATTACAGAAGACATCATCATGACTTATTGATTCTAAAAACACGAATTATTTTAGCTTACTGCTTGAGTTTTTTATTAATTTAATAATAAATTTGGAATTTTATTTGATATTGAGAGCATAGTAAACAACATTATCAACTTTGTGCTTGTTTTTCAAAATCCATATGATGATTTATAAGACAAATAAGGTAAAACCTGTGCTTCCAGTTATGTTTAATAATGCACACTCCCAGCTTTTCTTCCCTTTCATAAGCAGATTTGTATCTGTTGCTTACTGCTGGAGACAGGAATCAATAATGATGAATAACAATGTATGTAATTCACTCAGAAGAGGCATATTACATGGACTTTAGAAGCGAATTACATGAAAATCCCCCCTGAAATGCCACAGGAGTCATTGATAAATGGGATCCTTAGAGCACAATATATGCCAGACTGGCTTTAGACAGCATAATGGTTTTGCCCATAAGTAAATAAGTAAATCTTTGTCATCACACATTGCTATTTCTTTTTAGACTTGCTCTTCAGTTATGGGCAACTGTGTACAAATATGCTATATTAATTTAATAGCCATTAAAGAAGAAAGAACGTATATACTTTCAAACTGATGATATGTGTCAAAAATAGAAATTGTCATGAACTTTAATTAAATGAGAGTTAATCAGAGCTCCCATTTATTGAGAGTAAGAATTATAATATACCTAAAATTTCTTGGGGGAAAACAATGAATAAAAATAGCCAAGACAAAAAATTAATAGAAAAGCTTCACTTTGAAAATAAATATGTACTTAAGATGGAATTTTTTCTGTACTTAGAGTTCAAATTTAAATGTTCATGTAAAACTGAAGTGATATAACCTCAATGTCATAGATGTTGCTACAGACCCACATCCCTTGCAAAGATATGTACACTTATTTCTTGAATGATATGTTGCCCTTTGGTAAGTATTCTCTAATTATCGACATGTGACTTTAATAAACATTGTGCCAGTCTTTAAAAGTACATACCTTGGCCGGGTGCGGTGGCTCACACCTGTCATCCCAGCACTTTGGGAGGCCAAGGCGGGTGGATCACGAGGTCAGGAGATTGAAACCATCCTGGCTAACACAGTGAAACCCCGTCTCTACTAAAAATACAAAAAATTAGCCGGGTGTGGTGGCGGGTGCCTGTAGTCCCAGTTACTCGGGAGGCTGAGTCAGGAGAATGGCGTGAACCCAGAAGGCGGGGCTTGCAGTGAGCCGAGATCGCGCCACTGCACTCCAGCCTGGGTGACAGAGCGAGACTCCGTCTCAAAAAAAAAAAAGTACATACCTTGACAACTTATAAGAACAAGAAATAAGAGCAAGGAAATATTAGAAAATCTGTAATTTGTGTATATATACAAAATATACTTCATCTTATGCTTATTTCCCAACTTGGCATTAGAAATAAGTATCCAAGGTACTTCTGTTTTCTCTGTTTTGTCTTGTTTTTTCTACTTGGAAACTAATACTCAAAGACCTTGAGCCTTATTTAAAGGCGATCTACTTACTATACACTATATCTAATGGAAAGGTTAAAACATTTGTGATGATAAATAACCCAAGCTACTAGCTACATTCCTTTAAATCGTTAAGAAAACGAGATACTTCAAAGTTAGTGTCTTAAAGAAAGGTTTTTTACAGGTAACTCCCTTCCATTATGAGATTATGCCAACTTATTTTTGAAATTAAATCCCTATATAGATACAAGGAAAAATTGGAAAGGTTGGATTTTAATATCATAAAGAAATTTTAAAATTTCTCATTGTTTATTTACATAAATCTGTTTGACTATTTTCTTTTAGTCTCTTTCTTCCTTCCTTTCTTCTTCAATGACTTCTAAGTCAGTATTAGAAGGAAAGGGAGATATTGTGCCAAGAGTCTGAAATGATACTTTCCATGAGATAATATATATGATAAAAAACAAGAACTATTGCTGCAGATTGTTTTTATGCAAAAAAAATTAGAAATGACAGACTTTGTAAAAAATACAGACACTGACTTTAGATGATTTATTTAAACCATAAATATTTCAAACTGATCTTTAGATATCAACTTTGATTTAAAAATAGTTTTTTTAATTTGCAATGACAAAGTGTAAATTTGCAATCTAATCTTCAGTGCATATATTTTTATAAAACAAGATGAGTCAAAGTATAATTATTTTTCAATTTTTATTCAAAAACATTGTTTTGTGTCTTTTTCAATAGAAATATTTTATGATTTTCCATTAACTTAGGCTGAACCATTCAGTTACTCAACACTTATGTATTGACCATCTACTATGTCCCAGAAACTGTAAAAGACATAGGAACAAATGATGTACAGTAAATTTCCTGTAAACCATTAACCACGAATTAATCATACAGCATCACAACTGGCAGGAACAGTGACAACATTCTAAAAGGGAAACTTGAAAGCAAAGCACACTTTTTTTAAAAAAGAATTAAGATGAATTATTAATTCAGTTTCAGTTAATATGTGTACATATCTATATGCATAAACAAATATATAGACTGAAATACAACATATATAGGTATGGTATATTTCAAATGATTAAATTTTTCTAAACCTTGTAATTGTGAATATTCTCAAAATCAGTTTATATTGAAACTTTTTTTTTATTATACTTTATGTTTTAGGGTACACGTGCACAATGTGCAGGTTAGTTACATATGTATACATGTGCCATGTTGGTGTGCTACACCCATTAACTCGTCATTTAACATTAGGTATATCTCCTAATGCTATCCCTCCCCCCTCCCCCCACCCCACACCAGGCCCTGGTGTGTGATGTTCCCCTTCCTGTGTCCATGTTTTCTCATTGTTCAATTCCCACCTATGAGTGAGAACATGCGGTGTTTGGTTTTTTTGTCCTTGTGATAGTTTGCTGAGAATGATGGTTTCCAGCTTCATCCATGTCCCTACAAAAGACATGAACTCATCATTTTTTATGGCTGCAGAGTATTCCATGGTGTATGGTGTATATGTGCCACATTTTCTTAATCCAGTCTACCATTGTTGGACATTTGGGTTGGTTCCAAGTCTTTGCTATTGTGAATAGTGCCGCAGTAAACATACATGTGCATGTGTCTTTATAGCAGCATGATTTATAATCCTTTGGGTATATACCCAGTAATGGGATTGCTAGGTCAAATGGTATTTCTAGTTCTAGATCCCTGAGGAATCGCCACACTGACTTCCACAATGGTTGAACTAGTTTACAGTCCCACCAACAGCGTAAAAGTGTTCTTATTTCTCCACATCCTCTCCAGCACCTGTTGTTTCCTGACTTTTTAATGATCGCCATTCTAACTGGTGTGAAATGATATCTCATTATGGTTTTGATTTGCATTTCTCTGATGGCCAGTGATGATGAGCATTTTTTCACGTGTCTTTTGGCTGCATAAATGTCTTCTTTTAAGAAGTGTCTGTTCATATCCTTCACCCACTTTTTGATGGGGTTGTTTATTTTTTTCTTGTAAATTTGTTTGAGTTCATTGTAGATTCTGGATGTTAGCCCTTTGTCAGATGAGTAGATTGCAAAAATTTTCTCCCATTCTGTAGGTTGCCTATTCACTCTGATGGTAGTTTCTTTTGCTGTGCAGAAGCTCTTTAGTTTAATTAGATCCCATTTGTCAATTTTGGCTTTTGTTGCCATTGCTTTTGGTTCAAAGAGAATAAAATACCTAGGAATCCAACTTACAAGGGACGTGAAGGACCTCTTCAAGGAGAACTACAAACCACTGCTCAAAGAAATAAAGGAGAATACAAACAAATGGAAGAGCATTCCATGCTCATGGGTAGGAAGAATCAATATCGTGAAAATGGCCATACTGCCCAAGGTAATTTATAGATTCAATGCCATCCCCATCAAGCTACCAATGACTTTCTTCACAGAATTGGAAAAAACTACTCTAAAGTTCATATGGAACCAAAAAAGAGCCCGCATTGCCAAGTCAATCCTAAGCCAAAAGAACAAAGCTGGAGACATCACGCTACCTGACTTCAAACTATACTACAAGGCTACAGTAACCAAAACAGGATGGTACTGGTACCAAAACAGAGATATAGATCAATGGGACAGAACAGAGCCCTCAGAAATAATGCCACATATCTACAACCATCTGATCTTTGACAAACCTGACAAAAACAAGCAATGGGGAAAGGATTCCCTGTTTAATAAATGGTGCTGGGAAAACTGGCTAGTCATATGCAGAAAGCTGAAACTGGATCCCTTCCTTACACCTTATACCAAAATTAATTCAAGTTGGATTAAAAGACTTAAATGTTAGACCTAAAACCATAAAAACCCTAGAAGAAAACCTAGGCAATACCATTCAGGACATAGGCATGGGCAAGGACTTCATGTCTGAAACACCAAAAGCAATGGCAACAAAAGCCAAAATTGACAAATATATTGAAACATTTAATGCCATGTTTCTCAGAGTGTGACCCACAAAATGTTGCTGATACAAAATGATATAAGTATTTTCTTAGCTATCTTTCTTCTTTTTAAAACAGAACAGCTGAAACTGGGTAATTTATAAGAGACAAAATTCATTTATTATATTTCTGGTGTCTGGGAAGTCCAAAGTCAAGGGGGTGCATCTGGTGAGAGCTGAAGGCAGCACAGTGTATCCCATGGCAAGGAGACTGACAGTGCTAACATGCTAGCTCAGGTCTCTCTTCCTCTTATAAAGCCACGAGTTCCCTTCCCGTGATAACCCATTAATCCATTCATGAGGGCAGAGCCTTTATGATCCAATCAGCTCTTAAACCCCCCACCTCTCAATACTGCTACATTAGAGATTAAGTTTCAACATGAGTTTTCAAGGGGACATTAAAACCATACCAAGTTTAGAAACTGAAAGTAAGGTGTTTACAAACTTTTACAAAAATTTAATAAAATCCTTTTATGTCTGTTGAAGCTAATAACAAAAACAGAAAACTATTCTGTATGTTTTTGCTTTTAAATTTTATTTCTAGAATTTGTTTGTATTGTGTTTACCAAAAAATGGTTTGTAATACATTTATTTTTTTTAAATTCTGAGAAAAACTGAGTTTTTAAAAAGTTTTAAATGTGAATTCTAATGAGAAATTAAAGGAGATTTTGCCTTTTATTAGTAGAACTCTGTAAAATCTGTGAATACTAAAATCCTTCATTAACTGGTGCCAACATTTTTCCAAAGGAGTTTCTAATTCTTAAATATTGTTCAGTGGATTGAGATAATCAATCTTAATCAACAGTAAAAAGAAAATAAAGTACTGATTTATTTCAGTTCTCTAATTCAAAATAGGATTAATATATGCAAATTTTGTTCAATAAGAGTTTTATCTCTTATTTCTATTTATATTTATAGGAATGATGCAAACTTGTAGACATTTTAATATATATGAGATAGTCCATGAAGACTTTCAGAAATAAGCAGGTATGACTTTAAAAAATTGAAGGTTATGTGAGTTGATGAGAGACAGGTAGAAGAATATAGCTTCTTCAACTATTAGTATATTATATACATATTAGTAATTCTCTTTTATTTAAATGACCTTACAATCATATAAAAAAGCTCATGTTAAAAGAGCACTATTGTATTTTTATTTGTCTGTGCAGTGTTTACAAAGGAGTCTGTCCTGTTCAATGTGTTTAAGAGTGAATAATTTTGTTTAAGGTGAAATGTTGCTATCCAGCTGTTACAGCTTTTTACAAAGCCTTTGTAGGAGCATGTGCATTCTGAAGATTGTAAAGATTTATCGAATAGACTCAAATATTTTTCAGAATATATTTGTCTCTTGTAATTTCTATTTTTTTATGGTGTCCAGCCTGGGAGTTTAAAAAATGGAAAGATAGGATAATAGTTTTAAAAGCAGTAAATATTCTTCCAGCTGTCTCTAATCAATTCACATACCTCCAATTCTTTAAAGTCACACTTTCTTATTTCTAAAAAGCTTCAGGGACTATCTTATATATTCTTAGAAATACATATTGAATTTTTCATTTTCACTTCATTCATTCTTTCTCCAGTTTCTGTGCTGGCACTTTTAGATGATGTGCTGGCACTTTTAGATGATGTTATATGCTGGGGCTTCAGGAACCCTGGGAATTCAGAAATGCCTGTGAAGGTGTATTTTTGTTTCACTGTTGTTGCCACTACTATAACTGATAACAGTAGCAAATCCTGTGGATACTACCTGAAGTCATTTTGTGGCAAAGCTGAACCCCCTGAAACTTCTCTAATCAGTAAGAACTAGAACACTGTGCCAAGGACAGCAGGATGTTTTGCAGAGAGAAATACCCACTGCACTGAGCTAAGAAGGGAGAAATCCTTTCTCTGTGCCACACTGTTGCAGTGGAACCCAAATTGTGTTTTCTGTTCCTGGTAGGTAATCATGTGTATTAAAGAATCTTATTCTGTTTTTAATTTTACTCTGTATAGGGGTGTGTGTATGTGTGTGTTTGGTTTTGATTTTGTCTGCTTGTTTATTTTTAATTCACAAGCTTTCATTTTCCTGGGAACACAGCCTAAACTCACTGAGGATTGGGCTAGATGAAGAGGGATGAACAATCTGAATAACAAACACAAGACAGCCTTTTGCTGGGGCAGTTTCAGTGCACTGTGCTTGTGCTTTGACTTTCCACTGGTTTACTTGTTAGTATCCTGTAAATTGACCATGGAAGGCTAAACACATTCTGCATCTTAGGGTGTTCACACATTAGGTACAAGATGAAATTGTTACACATGCAAGCATTTCTTGGAATATCATTTGCTAAAAGGAACATGCATGACACCTAAAACTTGCTTTTATGCTTTACACTGCAGACATATAAATTATAGATGATAATAAACTTTGCCATTGTTCCTTTTCTCTCCTGTTTCTCTGTAGTTGTCCTTTTTCTCCTATGTCCATTGTTTAGGTCTCCTATTATGGTTTCTCCTCACTGAAGAATAATAAAGTAATCAGACGTATTTGGCCTTAATAAATTGAAGCGCTAAAGGAGCTGGAATTGAAAAATCATGTTTTAAATCATTCCTTGAAGTTAACTTTACTGTTTTTCTAAGTGTCAGTGAATTTTCAACATTTCATGAAACTCTATTCTCTTGTTGTCTAGTAATATTCATGGTCTTATGATTCCATCATTATACCAAACTACTTTGAAATATGTGACTAGAAACACATTTTAAATCATGAGATGTTCCAAATCCATGAGGACTTTTTTCTTGGAGGTAAGAAAATAAAATCTTTGGTTTTCTATACACGGGATAGCAAGTTGAACTGATCTGATTATTCTTCAATTAAACTTCATTAGGTACCATTTTAGCACTTATTCTGTAAGTACTTTTGAGTTAATAGCTTAGTGTAAAGTGTAAAAGGCTATTAAGCAGATTTAAACAGTTTTGTTTAAAGGAAGAAGCCATGTTTTTGCATCCCATTAGCTGAAAGGTATTAATAAAAGGTATGGCTTATTAGGCAGTGAAGATAAAAACTGGATGCATTTACGTAAATGGGAAAGCTCCAGGCTTGGCATGAAGCCTGTAGACAAATTACAGTTTTAAATTCAATGTAAAATTTTCTATTATTTTAAAAATAATTTTTAAAACAAAAATTTTTAAACAGAATTATGAATAAGAGCAGATTATTTTCTCTTCATGTTATTGCTAGAAGGGTAGTGTTTAAACAAGTGTTATTAGTAACTACCCATGTAGAACTGGGCAAGATCAAAGAGGGCTGCCAGGTAAAATGGAGGATGCTCCAAGTTAAGTTTTAATTTCAGATAAACAAATAATATTTTAATATAACTATGTCCCATAGAAGATAGTTATACTGAAAATATCCATTGGTTGTCTACAATTCTAATTTAGTCACCACATCTTCCATTTTTATTTACTAGACACATAATCCTAAAATTAGGAATAAGGGAGATAATCACATAAGTAATGACTAATGAACCTTGTTAGTTAACTTAGTTAATTGGGTTTTTTTTTACTTTTTTCATTAAGAAAATTGCAATTATTTTCAAGATATCATAACAGGTCGTGCATATGCAGAATAAAATGCATGTTAAATGTCTTTGTGCTCTAGTTTTTCCATCAATAAAGACAGTATATATGTTTCAAAAGACTACTTTTATATCTATACTGATGAAGTGAAATGTCTTTTTGGGGCACAGTAAATATAATTTGGGCTACCTGTCATTCTCACAGCCCTATTTTTACCCTGAAGGTGAGATAAGCTTCGGTAGCAATGTTGTGGCATTTATAACTCTCCTTCCCACTCCAAACACAGCATTCTCATTTAGCCACAGCTGGTGGATCAGGGTTTACTTCTAATTTTAGTGAGGCATATTGCCTTTGGAGTTTGCTATTGTATTAGAAGGAACCAGGCCCTGTTTTCTTTAGTGATTGGACCTGTGTTTAGTCCTGGAAAGAGTCAATATACATGTCAAACCACATACAAGCCAAATTGTGCAGAGGGAGAAACAACTATATTGTCAGAAATAGCTTGAATACATTCTGTCCGTTATAACTCTGTTGCAATGTCATTCTGCTGAATATATTCTAATCATTGTAATTGCATCCATTATAGTTAGGACATGGAAAAGAAAAAAGAAGAGGGGGTAAGAGAAACTACAATATGTATAAATTCAGCAACAACACACTAATGATGTATTAGAGTAAACTTTATAATTGAACATACTTGTATTTGTCATAGCTAAAACCTTCAACTTCTGTACTTGTATATCCAAAATTTATATGTAGTATGTTTTATGTACATATAAAAATATAGATACGTATTTATGTTAAGATATACAATGTATATCTACAATAATCTTGTATTTAAAAAATTAACATTTCATATACTTATCAGAATGGAGTGCTCTTCTCATCCATTATTTAGAAATAAAATATACTGCCCTTATATATTGGCATTCTAAGTTGGCTAGAGTTTGGAGCTGATGAGATCAAATCATATGTTCATGTGTTTATTAACCTTTGAAATGATCAAGTTTAAGGGGGGAATATTGCTGAATTAGCATGTTTTACTACTGGTGCAAAATAACTCAAAGGACACATCTTACTGCCGTTAGACCAGTTACTATTTGCTAACAAAAGAGAGAGTAATTTTATTATCTGTGGACATTGATATGTAATACTTACCAAGCATGCCAATAAATAATGTTTTGAATGAAATAGAGCATGACATAATGAATATTAGCAATACAATTTTTATTGAGTCAAATAATGCTCCACTAATGAACAAAAGTAATCTACTTGTTTCTTTAGAGCTTGTTAACAGTTCCTTGATTATTCATGTGTCCAGAAAAAAAAAAATTAATGCTCGAAGCCCTAAACCTGGTGAATATAATAAGCATGACTCCCCATGGATCTGAAAAAATTAAATTGTTGGTTTGAGACAGATGCAGTCATAACCAGAGGGAATGCTTTTGCATCCACATTACAATGTAGCAGAAACATAATTTAGAAGCTTTAATACATATTAATACTTTGTTCAAGACAATTATAAGCTTCAGCAAATAAAAAGTAAAGATACAGGAGAAGAATGAAGTTACTTTGAACTAAAATCTCCTCTAAAGACAGTCGTAGTCGTACAGTAATTCCACCATTAATTTTAGTATATGAACTAAAGCTAGAATAAAATTATATGTAAATGCATTGAATAAATTCAAAACAAGCTCAGGAAAAAGAGTATAGAGTGATCCTCTTCATAGAAATCAAATGAAATGACTGTGAATCTGCTAGTCATAGTTATCTGAGTTTTTTTCTCATTAAATAGATTCATATTTCTGCTCTCAAAAGTAATTATTTCCTTGGAATCTGTTTGATACATAATAGTAATTCTAATGCAGTACTTATCGTTCGGTTTTTTTTTTTACATAAAAATACATGAACGTGTAAAAGATACTTTGTTGATGAAATTATATACTCGAGGCAAAACTATGCTACAAGAGAATCATTTCAAAACAAGTAAGCACATGTTAAATGCTAGATACTAGAAATAATCTACCCAAATACTTTTTGAAAAGCAGGGGGAATGAGATCTCCATTCAGTGAATTTACTACATGCTTTCTCTATGCTGGTAGTGTGTTCTAAGGGCCTTATAACAACCATGAAAGTTATCCTCATTTTAAAAACGGGTGTGTCCATGACCTGCCTAAGTCTTGTCATGATTTGGGATTACATGACCTGTTTTTCAAAGTCATAGAAGAACTAATAATTATAAAGGTCAGAGTTAGAACATCCCAGCCTGCTCCTTAATAGTTGTACATTCTTAAGTAGGTTACCTAATTTATATTTGCCTCAGTTTTTCATTCTGTAAAGTAAAAATAATAATTATGTCTACATCAATGAGCTGTTCTGGTGATTAAATCAATTAATATATATATAAAGCATTTAGAACAGTACTGTAAGTTCTATTTAAATGGATAAGTCTCTAGATCCATGTTTGTTTTACCACACTGCAAAAGCATGGGCATTAAATTCACACTGCTAACAATGTACAAAATGTACCACTAAAATATTGTAGCTTTATATTGATTGATTCATTGCCTTCTGCAATATTTACTGTATTTTTGAACTTGATATTTCTTATCTATTAATCATTAATTAAAAATAATAAAAACAAGTCATAAAGGGTATAATAATTGTTATTATGGTACAATCATTATTACTGCTACCTGTTTTTTCACATAAAATGTAAGCCATTAATTGTTGTAAGCAACCCACCAGAGAACACATAGAAAATTGCAGAATTGGGAATTACAGTTTATGAAATTTTTTTTTAAAAAGCCAGAAAACCACATTATCAATATAATAGGGAAAACCAAAGATGAAAAATGTAAATTGGTTGAAGAAGTTAATCGAGATGCCAACATTGTCCAAATGAACACTGGCGATGATGGAAATATTCCATATTTACTGTATTCAATATAAAAACTACAAGCACACATAGCTATTGAGCACTTGAAATGTGAATATTGTGACTAAGGGATTGCATTTTGAGTCTTATTCTGTTTTAATTTAAATCTAACTAACTACCTGTGGCTATTGGACAGCACAGCTCTGGACAGACAGTAAAAGAGAGCTGATGCCGGCCTGGAGGATGAGAGAGCTGTGGAGGCAGGACTCATGAGAGAGGGTCTTTGGTCATTCATTTCTGTGGAAAATAAGTGACCTTTTCAATCTATGATGAAAAAGGGAACAGGAGTTTGGTAAACTAAAACTAAGAAGAATTTGCAGAGGTTTCAAACAAATTGGTTTTGGGCCATATTGGGTCCATTGTACAATGCAAAAATGTATATAGAAACCTCAATTTCTAGTTTCTCTGATTAAAAAAAAAGAACCAAATGGAGCAAATTAATTCATCTCTTTTTTTTCATCTGTAAATCCAAAAGCTGTGTGAAAAGCTGTATAAATTAAATTTAAATTAATATTCCATTCTGAAAGTCTACTTTAGGGTTTATGATCACACATTACTCTGTTAGACCTCTTTTGGTATCTGGTTAGTCACAGTTTTTAGAGCAGTGGTCTAATACCTTCATGGTCACACCTTCTGTCTTCAGAAAGTTCATTTAGTTTCAGACTGTTAGCCAGACATCTTACAAATATTTCCCATTGCTTACAGGGAAAATGAGAAGCAAAAGCATATTTCTATGTGAAAGTGTTTTTGTTTTGGGAAAAGTGAAGTTGCGGATATTTTTCACTGTGGCTCATTATATGATGTTCACGTTTAGGCAGTATACAAAATAAGTCGGACTATTACAGATGTCACTGCCTGGATGAGCTTGATTTTGATATAAAACCTGTAATTAATTTTTCACATAATTGTTCATAGCCTTAAGCTTACAAATTTATTAGGTTATCTTGGGATAAAGTCTTCTTCTGATACAATGCCTGGAATACTCCCTTTGTCCTACATGGATGAGTGCTTTACTCCTAAATAGTACTTTATGATCTGGGTCTACTGTAGCACAAGGAAACACATGTTTGAAAATAAACATTTAGTTAATGAATGGATTTTATTTTCAAGGTGTTTATTCCCTCTGGTGACTGATATATAACAAGGACTTACAAATGCTTATTCAATAAAAGCTCCCTAAAACTTAGACATAATGTTTGCAATAAGCATAGTAAATAGCAAACCTTTCATATAAAAATCGTCTAAGTTTCACTTTGGTTTGACTATATTTTTCTGTGGGGCGCTTAAAAATGTAGATCCATTGAAGTCTTTTAGGCCACTTCTCTCTTATGGATAATTTCAGCACTATTTTTTTCTTCAGAATTACCTGGTTTTCTGAGAATTAAATTTTCTTTTGCAGTTACATAAATTCTGTAAGGATTTACAATACCACAGATTGTTTATAGCAGTATTTTGTAAATGACTACATTATAACATAGAGATATTTTGGTAGTATATAATATCAAATAAATGAATCATTAAAACATATGTCTGCTGTAAAAATTTATCTTTCACCACAAATTCATTCATGTGTCATATAGACATTTTTTCCTAATATTTCCTAATGTTTTTTAATCTTGATTAATGTTGCATTCTAAGTAACAGTGATTACTTCTGAGTCATAAATATTTTAAAAGCTATTTTGTCACTTCAACCAGCTCTGACTTCATACTCCCACCTTAATGCACTATATTCTAGAACAGTATTTGTTAAAGAACAATTGTCTAGAAAGGAAAACAAAAATGTGCTTTTTTGCATAACTTTACATATTGTTTTAATAATATACTTCCATTAGTTCTCTTGCCTTTATATTACTTACATGTTATACATTTCTTCAAATAATTTTACTGTGGGGGCGAATATGTTAACATGCATTTTTTGGTATCAACAGCATTTTTGATGAATCAGATAATCCTAGAATAATGTCTAACCCATCTACATTTTATCATGCTAGAATAAATAATTCAAGGAAAATTGAAGCATCATTTGTACTCTCAATAGCATTCTAGTAGTCTAGGAAAACTAAGTGAAAACTACAAAAAAGGAGAAAAAGGAAACGATGTACATCACAGTGTTACAATGCAGCACTAGCAACGTGTACGATTGCAGAAAAAGGACAGATTTATCCTGACTTTGAAAAGCAAGAAATAATTTAAGGGCAAGTGGCATTCTTGTCAGACTTCAATTAACAAATAGGATTTTGATAGATAGGAAGGAACACTGACCAAGAAGTTAAGTAGAGTCAACTGCTGAATGTTTAAAGTAATAACTGGATTTGATTGCAGGAAATAGGGAGATACTGAAGATTTTTACTTTATGGGGAATAGGGATTATATTTCTTAATTGTTATTAAGAGTTGTAGTTTCTAAGACTTTAATATGCAGCAGAATTGCCTGGAAGGCATTTTAAAATATAGATTACTTGGGCCCAACCCCAGAGTTTCTGATTCAGTAAGTCTTGAATGGGGCCTGAGAATTTGCTTTTCTAACTGGTTTCCAGATGATGCCAGTGTAGGTAGCTTGGGACCACACTTGGTGAACTACTGATCTAGAGCAAGACTTCTTTGGTAGTTCCTTCCACCTCCCCGGGAATGGTGTCAAATAATATTTAGCTTTCATTTTTTAGCAGTTAACTTGTATTTTGAAACACTCTGTGAGAGACGAACATAGGAGAAAATACATACAAATAAACAAAAAAAAAACTTTAATTAAGTAAATGAGACAAATTAAGGTAATACTGGAAACTGTAAGTAATACTATTCTACCTGTATCAGTCAGGGTCCTGGCACGAAATAGAATACACACAGATGGTTTAAATAAAGATATTCTCATGAAGACATTGTTACAGAAATATGGACAGAGTTGGGGCAGCTGGAAGCCAGTGACACCCAGCGGGCACAGTGTAATCAGAGCCCATGTGGAGCTGGAGTCATGGAGAGGCTGACCAGTGAAAAGGAGCTGGAATTTTCTTAGAGGGATGCAGTGACTTTCAGAGAAGTATTGCAGCAGGGAAAAAGGGTAGAAGGAAATATCCCACTTCTCTCTTCCTTTGCACTCCAGTCTCCTGCTGTTGCCTCCTTCTGTCTGAAACCAGCCTGAAGTCAGTGTATATGTGGGTGAGACAGCCAGCAGTGTGGTCAGTGTCTGGGGGCACAGATAACTTCTTGGAAAGATGAAGATTGTAAAGGATGGACCTCATTCTACTTTTTATCTTGTTCATTTTAAGCCCTGCTCCCAGTTTTCTACTCACGCTATCATGACCTGTCATTTCTACTCTGTGCCACAGGATAGCAACAGGCTAAGCATCTAGCAGCACGGAGATGAGATGAGCAATCTGTTGTAATAGCTTACTTACTACGGACTCAGAAGTGTCTTTAAAGCTTCTTCATCAGTAGGTCAAAGAACTTCAAATATTTCTGCTACAGCAGCACCGTAAGGAGAAGTACTTGTAACTCAAAAGTGCTATTAAAAGCCTGATGTTTGCTCTAAATATAAGGAATATAATGATTGACCAATTCAAGCTGCACAGAGACAATTTGCTTTTTTTGAGTTGCCTCTAAGTCCCTGGTGATGTTATTGTATAAATACCAACAAGGCAATAAGAGCTCAATTGTCCCACCATCAAAGAGGAAGCACCCTTTGGAATTGGTTTTAAATAACTGTAGGTAGTTCAGTGCTATAAATACCAGCACTATTTTATAAATCTCAGTCACAAACATGAGATTGCCTTTACTGTCTCAATCATTTTAGGATCTCTTCCTGTAGTCTCTGCAGAATTTCTGAAGCAAGAGCAGAGGCTGTATTCATTGCCTGGCAATAGCAGTGAATGATGTCTTACATTCAAGATGATAGGAGGATCCTAAATGTCTTCCTAGCCTTAAGTCCTATGACTTTTCAGTATGCACCGTCAGTTCAGGCTAACTAAGTAAATCACTTTTTACCCAAAATGCCACTTGTTTACTTCACGCTGCACTTTTGTTCATGTAATTTGTTTCATTGAGACTACCTTTTTAAATTGTTAAAATATGTAAAGCTTCATCTCAAATACTAATCTTTCCACAAATCCTAGCTTGATTCTTCCAATGAGAAGCTTGAATATCCAGAGCACAAGTTGTTACTTTTAAACCACTTTACACATCCTTAATTATATTTAAAAATAACTAAAAATTTCATACACCCCCCCCAATTGAAGCACTTTTTACTATTTATTGGAGCGAATTATGGAGAAATATTTGTATGAGCCTTGGCCATGGAATATCAGAATAGCTGTGTGTGTCTATAAGTTACTTAATTTAGAATCATTTATATCACTCTAGTTTCATCTGTAAAATGATTAGTATCTAACTTACATCAAGATGTTGATGTTCAAATGTATAAAGGATGAGGAAAACAAGTTGAAAAGCAGGCTAAAAATGTTAGTTACAATTCCTTATTATTTTTTGTGTCTTTTACATGGTAGGAAATCAAAAAGTTTGTATTATATTGAACTAAATTGGAAGTCCACAGAAATCTATACTGGGATTAAAAATCCTTAATTCTTTTAATTGCATGAAAAAGAGAGGGGAGAAATAGCTTGACATTTTCTTCATGATGACAAAGCCTGGGCAAAACACATGTATGTGCATGCATTTATGTATGTGAGGCTTGTTTCAAAAAGGGTTTTTTAAATGTTTTCTATAAGTGTATAAGAAATATCAAGGTATACTAACATAAGACTGAAGTGATGGGACACAGTGGTCAAAGATAAAATAAGAAATAGAAGTGAGATAAAATAAGAATTTCAATTAATATACTTCAAATATGTCATAAGAATGTCATCATTTGCTAGAATTTGACCAAAAGATTAGTATTAAACATTCATGGAACTGAAATAAAGCTTTATTTCAGATCTAGGATCCCCCAAAATATTATGGGAGTCACATACAAGAAAGAAAAGATGAATTGGTCATGAGAAACACAAATATTTCTGGAACTGAGTCCAGAGAAAAAAAATCATCCTTTGGTCTCTTTAAGAAAATGATGTATCTTAATGTGGTGAACAGTGACATTCTTAGAGTAAATGCACAGTGTAGTTGAATATTTTCCTCCATAAAACTGAAGGGCACTGTGCCAAAGCACAGCTCTGAAAGCTTATGCCACTGGGGATTATTATCGCGGAAATCTCTGTGGTGTGGATTGTTGGGATGGAGGGGCTACAGGGTACTTCTCTTTTTATTTACAGATTTCATATTTTAAAAAATTTTTACAATATAAAACATGGCTTCTATCTTTTTTTAAAAAAAGCTAGCACCCCACATCAAATCAAAACAAAAAAGCAAAGTAGTAGGTAATTTTGGGTTTTCTAAACAGCCAACTCAATGTTTATACTTGATCTTAGCCAAAAGGCTGAGAAGCGATCCAACTCAATGTTTAATTGTGGGTTTCATATTTTCAGGTATAGATCACTGATTCCCAAACTGCTGATTACAACTCACTCCTAAAACGCCACAAAATAAGGATTTAATAATAAAAACATTTCAGAAATGCAACCTTTGTATGTTTTCTTGGTAATTCTCATTGCAGAGACATCACCACTTGGCTGGCTATTCTAGTAGTTCTGGCACCTGTAAACTGTGGTGGTAAAAAGTCATTTGGGAGTTTAACTCACAGGAGTCGGATGTGGGCAGGATGCCCCTTCTAAGGGGTATCTGAAAATATGTTTGTGTGAAGCAGATGCTTCATTGTCAAAGATTCAATAATCACTGATATTTAGTGAGCTGAGGACAGAGATGCTAAAAGTGCTACAGTATATGAGACAATTTCAAGAAACAAAAGATCCAACTGCATAAGATACCAACCTTCCCTCATTGAAAAACATTGTTCATAACAAACTTACTTGGCATGAAACAGTATTTTGTAACATTCTTATTTACATAGGAATGTAAGTAAGATTGTTTCAAAATTAATTTGATGATTAATTTTGTGATTATTTCAAAATTAATATTTTTCTTTAAATCTATAAATTCTAATGTTCATCTTTCTTTTTGATATTCTGCTCAATATCTTAAAGATATATTAAAGTCAATGTGTCCAAAGTAGAACTCCAGACTCCTACTCCCTGCCAAACTGCTACTTCCCCAAATCAGAATATTGTACATTTTGGTAAATGGAACTACCAGCCATTCATTTGTTCAAGACAGAAACCACGATCCTAAATTTGTGTCATTCCACCTTCAAAATATAGTAGTCTCATTTTATTTCCCAAACTGTGAAAGGTAAAAACCTAAAGTGAGGGTATAATATAAACATAAAACCAGAAATATTAAAAATAGATACATTTTTCCTTTAAAGGAACAGAAAAATGTCTTAGAATGGAAATAAAAAATAAGGAGTTAGATAAATGGAGATCAAAATTTAAAGAAATGGAGGGTGAACTATAGTGGGAAAATAGGTCAGGTGCAATGGCTCATGCCTGTGATTCCAACACTTTGAGAGACCCAGGCAGGTGGGTCAGTTGAGGTCAGGAGTTCGAGACCAGTCTGGCCAACATGGTGAAACCCGTGTCTACTAAAAATACAAAAATTAGCCAGGGGTGGTGGTGGAGGCCTGTAATCTCGCTACTCAGGAGGCTCAGGTGGGAGAATCACTTGAACCCGGGAAGGGGAGTTTGCAGTGACTGGAGATCGTGTCACTGCACCCCAGCCTGGGCAACAGAGTGAGACTCTGTCTCAAAAATAAATAAATGAATAACTAAATAGTTGGAAAATAAACTGATGCCTGAACTGCTAGAATAGCCAGACAAGTGGTGGTGTCTCTGCATTGTCTTTTCATACTGCTCTTCCCTTCTGTCCCCCAACACACAATCTTTGTGTCTTTCTATCTCTGTCACACACACACACACACACACACACATACATACACACACACACACACACATAGATGCTCCTTAGCTTAGAGTCAGGCTTCTGGCCCCACCTGGGATCTGTGACCCTGAAGAAAAGTAGCAGATACAAGGTTGTCTCTGGTGAGCAGGAGTCTCTCAGCAAAGCCTTTCCCCTGTCCTCCTTCTCTAAGAAATCTCAGATGTAGCTGGAGCAAATTCAACTTTTGGGATTGGAGGACAAAGCAATCTATTTTCTGATAGATTGTATTTATTTTTAATTGTGTTCCACTTTAACCTTTGTTTTAGCACTAATCTTTTCTTATCGAGCACCTTGTTATAGATATTTCTACTTTTCCTTCTTCTCTCTCCTTCCTACTTTGTAATTCCCCTCTTATTTTAACCTATTTCAACATTTCTGTGATGTTTTTTGTATTTGCCATAAAAATGAAAGAAAGATAACTCCACGGAGAAAGATTTGTGTGCATATTTAAATATGTATCTATATATCTTTTAATCTATTCATTTATTTTTTAAAAATATTTGATGGAAATAATTATAATTTATTTAATAAATAACTACAGAATATCTATATTTAGTAGGAAAATGGAAATTTTAGAATGATACTTTTATAATGAATCAATTTTTCTGAAACATACATATGCATATACAACAGACATATCTCTGGATAGTAAAAATATGAAAAATTTTTTTTCTTAAACTATTCTGTATACATATCATATTTACAATGAATATACATTGCTTTTGTAATTAAGAGACCAAATGAATATATTTCAATACTTCAGCTCTTAATTTGTGGGCCTGACAACTATATCATAGAGATAACGTCAATTGAAAGGTACCCTGTCCACAAGAGTTTCTTTACCAGCCAGGCAGAGACCCAAATGCTAGCATTGACATAACAGAGGAATTAATTGCTTCTGTGTACATGAGCAGTAAGTACTGACTGTCCTTGTTAAACATCTGAAGTTTATTGCTGGTGTAATAAATTTTCATTACATTTCATTTATAGTAAAGAAATATTAGTCAAGTATGAAACATTGCTAATTTGAATCCTCTATAAATGAAAGATGACACAATGTTTCCTAAAGTGCTTGAAAAAAATATATAATTAAGTGAGGGGTTCAAAACCCTAGCTAATGTTCCTTAACCAAGGCTACAAATAAACAATTAGCAAAATATTTTAAAAATACAAAGAAATAAAAAGATTCATGTGAAAACAGTAAAATTCTTAAAAATATACCCTTGGTTTCAGAGGTGGTTGAAGTAATTTATTGTCCCCATTAAGTTGGATGAATAAAGAACAAAATATTGTAAACAACAATTAATTTTAATGACATGAAGATGATCACGGATCCTGGACTTGATATTCCAATCTAAGTATTTCTTTTAATCTTGGATTAGCACTTGATTTGGTTAAAACATTGTTGGATTACCTCACATAAAGTAAGACAGATTCATTCTTGCATATTTCCCCCCTTTTTATTCAAAGTTTATTGTATAAATTCTATGTTCTTCACTCAAATCATGATATGAAATGAAAATGTAGATGACATAGGAGTCATATTTTATTAAGGGAGTGAAGGGAAAGGTAGAATTTAAATATCTTGCAGTGGCCAGAAAGAGGACACAGTAAAACTACAAGTAGAACTGGCCAAAAGGCAACCCTGAAGAAATGTTAGGTTGATCAGTGAACCCTAAACAGGCTAATTTTAAGAATGTTTGCAGCCTTAAAAATTATGATTCTTAGTTTCTTTTGAGAATCATTTACATATTCCTTTTTTGAATTTTTTATCTTTTAAAACAGGGTCTCACTCTGCACCCAGGCTGGAGTGCAGTGGCACAATCATAGCTCACTGCAGCCTCAACCACTTGGCTCAAGCAATCCTCCCACCTAAGCCTCCTGAGTATCTGGGACTAAGGCATGTGCCACCATGTCCAACTTTTTCTTTCTTTCTTTCTTTCTTTTTTTTTTTATGGAGACAGGGTCTCACTATGTTGCCCAGGCTGGTCTCAAACTCTTGTGCTCAAGTGATCCTCCCACCTCTGCCTCCCAAAGTGCTGAGATTATAGTCATGAGCCACTGCACCCAGCTCATTTCCATATTCTTTAAGCCCAACATGGGATCATGTTCTGTGAAAAAGTTATAGTAGTATACAACATTGTGTTTTTTTTCTTATTATGTGTTCTGGCTGTCTCTCCAATACCAGTAAATTATGGCTATCTTTCCAATATCAGTAAATTAAGCCTACCTTGTTCTTTCTAATAGCTGTGTAATAGATAATTGAATGGAAATGGTAAAATTGTATTTGACTGGTCCCTTATTTTTGACAATTTAGGTTGTTGCCATTTGGCTACTATATTTTAAATGCTGAAAAAATGTATGTGTGTTTATATACATACATACACATATATATTTATAATGAGTATATGTATGTATAGATCTAAAATGTGTATATATATGAGTATCTTTCTGTAAAAAATTTTTTAATGTAGAATTATATATGTATATATAATATCCACGTATGTGATATATATACACACACACACATACACGTAACATATTTGAGCAATTGTATCTATAAGGACAGTTATTAAAGGTGGAACTACTATGCTGAAGAGTATGCATACTTCAAAATTTGGAAAATATTTACATATTCAATTTAGTCACCTCTGTTTGTTGTCATGTGTAGAAAGGCCTGCTTTACTCCCAAAATTCAAAGAAATAAACAAAAAACTCTATTCTAATATTTAATGACTCCAATTTATATGTTTGATTCTTTGAAGCAGGTTGAATTTATTAGAGACAAAGCAATAAGGGAGTAATACAGATTTACAGTGAGAAAATCAAGGCTTAAATAGCTACATACTACTTTCTCATGGTCATGAGTCTCCAGATACCTTTTAAGGTAACATAAATGCTGTGTCTGAGAATATCTTAAGCACAAATGACATATTTTTAAAAATAATAGCCTTAATATTTTCCATGAAATTTCTATGTTCTAGATATTTTGGTTGTTCATTTATCCTGGCCCTTTAATTTAAAAATGTGAAATAATTCATAAAAGAAACTTTATCTTTTTGGAATTAATGATTTTTGAGACATAGATAATAAAGTGATAGCCAAATAATAATATTCCTTAAAGGAGACAAAGATAACTGATGATTTGACTCACCAGAAACAGCTAATATTTTTGTACCAAACACTCTATACTGAGTGTATATTGTGGGAAAGGATATTATCCTAAATCATATTGAAAATATTGGCAGAGTCTAGAATCTAAAGAAGGAAAAGGCATCCTATGTAGAAGGGAGAGTCATAGATAATGTTTGAGACATTTGCACAAAAGATGTGCAAGCCAGGCTGTGTTGAGGCTCATCAGTGGGATGTTTAGAGCAGACAACTGATAGGCCAGTCCAGTAGAATAAAATAACCCAAGATTTTCAAACAGGAAACCAAACATATTCAGGAGAAACTGATTTACTGTCCTGGGAGAAACAGATAATTCACAGAAGGACATAAAACAAGGAACTCAGGATGGAGCCACATTCCTGAGAGTTTTCACTGATAGTTTTGCCCTTTCTACCTGGGAGCTCCTAAAGGTATTTAAAAGAGATGAGAGACATATTTTTAAAAAGCTTTATTTGGAGGGGAATAAAGTGTTATCAATGAAGTTCAAATGTATAAAAGATGATGAAACTTAGCAAATGGAAAAATTGACTGTGTTTGTTACAAATCTTTATTATTATTTTTAGCATCTTTTACAGGGTAGGAAATAAAAAGTTGTATTATATTAACTAAATTGGAAATTCACAGAAATCTATATTGGAATTTAAAATTCTTAATTTTAAAAGACTAAAAATGTAGTATCAGGTGGACTAGGGGAGATGAGGGGGAGGAATCAGGAAAGCAATGGGCTTTGTTACACAATTTTTCTTTTGTGTGGCACCATCAGTCATGACATAAGTCCCAGGTTCTCATCCCTGACTTAGAAGGTTTTTACACATATCATTTGAATTTTATTTAAAGAGCTGATTGATGCTTTGTCTGTACTGTTCTCCCACACATTATCCATTTTGGTCAGTGACAGTTCAACCATCTTAGAAATGGCAAATTATGTAAGAAAATCTCCTGTGTTCTAGATTACTTTTTGTTTTTCCTCTATGAGCTAGCATTGCTTTGTGGGTTACATTAGAGAAAGAAACTCTGAAAAACATTTTCTTTATTTCCGATACTTTGTTTTAACTATGGAAAAGACATGCATCACTTGGAGATAATTAGAAGCAAAGAATCCCCGTGACTGTACAACAGATCCCCAGGTATGGACAATGCCATTGCCTGCAGTATTTGAATTTGACATGACAGCTACCAGGTGTTACAGGCTTACCGGTTTTCAAAGTAAAAGAAAAAAAAATGTAAGCACCTTCACAAATGAAACAGAACAGATTTTGCCAGCATAAAATACCTGGCTTACATTTCAACAAAGTCAATTCCAGCCCTTTTAACTAAGGCACAACAACCTGTTTCAGTACACATGAATTATAATGCTGCCAAATCTTCTGTCCTCAGAAATAACTCACATGTGCTTCAGGTACTTGAAAAGCATTGTGGATTTTTGCCAAGCTCCTGAGGATGCGCAGACATTGTTTGACTGATCGCAATGTCACATCTGAGGTCCACTTGTTAGTTCTTAGTTTATCAGAAACTAAGCTTTTGAAACTATCCATGGTCTTCCTTTTGATGTGTTCATTAAGCTTTTTAGTCATTCAGTTATAAAATCTAACCTGGAAGAATGAACAAGATATTGTCTCGTTTTTATGGTGGTTTTTGTTTGTGATATGGTTTGGCTGTGTCCCCACCCAAAATCTCATCTTGAATTGTAATCCCCAAAAACCCCATGTGCCAAGGGACAGACCAGGTGGAGGTAATTGAATCATTGGTGTGGTTTTCCCCATGATGTTCTTGTTATAGCAAGTGAGTTCTCACGAGGTCTGTTGGCTTTATAAGTGTTTGGTAGTGCATCCAGCGTTCATTCGCCTTCCTGCTGCCTTGTGAAGGAGGTGCCTTCATTCCCCTTCTACCAGGATTGTAAGTTTCCTGAGGCCTCCCCAGCCATTCGGAGTTGAACTGTGAGTCAATTAAACCTCTTTCCTTAATAAATTGCCCAGTCTCGGGCGGTTCTTTATAGCAGTATGAAAACAGACTAATATAGTTTGCTTTTACAAAGTATTTTTTAAGGGTAAAATTAATTGTATGTCTCCTTATTTAGTTTATCAAAGTAGGTCTGTGCATACATTAATGAAGGTATACAGGTAATTCTGGTCTTTCACTAATATTCAGTACAT